>NC_000002.12:104156284-104459314 GCF_000001405.40 Homo sapiens | reverse complement strand
ATTAAAACAGAAAAAGATAGATAAAAATCAATAAAACAAAAAGTGAATTCCTTGGGGATAAACCTCAAGAAGATAAATACGAACAGAGAGGAAACAAACATCATTAGTAACAGGAGTGAAACAAGGGATATTGTGGCAGATCCTGCAGCCATTACAAAGAAAGTAAGGAAATACTATGTAATAATTTATGTTCATAATTTCAACAACTTAGAAGAAATGGACTAATTCTGCAAAGCCACTAATTCTGCAAAGCAACTACCAAAATCAGCTAAGGTGAAATAATTTATGAATAGTCATAAATTATTAAAGAAATTGAATTTGTAGATAAAAAGCTCACACACAGCAAAAACCTTCAAGCCTACATGGTTCCCCTGAAAAATTTTAAGAAATATTTAAAGAATTAATACCAACTCTGCACATTTTTTTTCAGAAGATAGAAGAGGGAACACTTCCTAACTCATTTTATGAGACAAATAATAATACCTGATATTAATACTAGACAAAAAGAGGACAAAAAATAAAAATTACAGACCCATTTCTCTCATGAAGTTGGTCATAAAAATTCTCAACAAAAATCACAAAATGAATTTAAAAATGTATAAAAAGAATTATACAGCATGGCCAATTGGGACTTCTTTCAAGTATAAAACACTGGTTCAACATGCAAAAATCAATTAATGTAATATATCATATCACAAACTAAAAAGAAAACTCATATCAATACAGAGAAATCGTTTGACAAATTTCAGTGACCTTTATGATTAAAACTCTCAGAAAAATGGAATAGAGAGGAACTTCTTCAGTTTGATAAAAAGCATCTACAAACAACCTATAGTTATCATCATATTTAATAATAAAAAATTAAATTTTTCTCCCTAAGATCAGGATCAAGGAAGGAGGTTTGCTTTCTACACTCTTATTTGACATAGAGCTGGAAGTTTTACTAATGCAATAAGAAATAAAAGGCATGAATATCTAAAAGGACAAAAAAAAATCTGCCCCATTTGTAGTTGACATTACTGTGTACATAGAAAATTTCAAGGAATCACAAAAATATCTCGAATAATTAATAAGTGAGGAGTTCAGCAAAGTTACAGGATATGAAATCAACACAGAAAAATTAATTGTATTTCTATAAGCCAATAACACGAGTAGAACTCAACATCAAAAATAGAAGGTATAATTTAATTGCAACAAAGAAAGTGAAATAGTTATAAATCTAACATAATATGTGCAGGGTTTCAATGCTGAAAATTATGAACTACTGATGAATAAAATCAAAGAAGTCCTAACTAAATAAAAATACACACAATGTTAATGAATCAGAAGACCCAACATAATAAAGGTGTTAATTATCCCCAAATAGATAGATCTATGAGCTTAGTGCAATTTCTATCAAACTTCAGCAATGGTTTTTGTAGACATAAACAAGTTTAATTTAAGTGGAAAAGCACAGCTCATAAAATAGCTAAAAACAATTTTGAAGAAGAATAAAGTAAGAAGATATTAAAGCTCACTACATAATAATTGAAGACAGTGAAGTACTGGCAGAGGGATAGACAAGGAAGAGAGAAAAGAATAGAGAACTCAAAAATAGTCTACACTAATATACCCAACTAATTTTTGACTAAGGTGCAAAAGCAATTCAGTAGGTAAAGGATAGCCTTTTCAATAAACTGTATTGGAGAAATTGGGCATCCATATAAAAAAAAATGATCCTCCACCTAAATCTCCCACCTTCTACAAAAATTAACTCAAAATGGATCACAAGTTTAAATGTGGTAAAATATCAAACTTTTATTAAAAAGCACAGGAGAAATCTTTCAGGAATTAGGGCTAGACAAATAGTTCTTAGACATGACATTAAAAGCACAATCCATAAAGAGAGAGACTGATAAATTGAACTTCATCAAAAATAAAACTTTTGCTCTGAATAAACCTTGTTAAGAAGATGAAAAGACATGCCACAGACTGGTCGAAAATATTTGCAAACAAACAATCCAATTAGAAAATGGGCAAAAGATATGAACAGACATTTTACTGCAGAAGATACGCAGATGGCAAATAAAGCACATGAAACAATGTTCAACATCATTAGCCTTTAGGGAAATGAAAAGGAAAATCACAAGGCTACATTGCTACACACCTAGAAGAATGGCTAACTGATATCACCAAATGCCAGTGAGGATGCAGAGAAACTGGAACACTCATACATTGCTGGTGGGAATGTAAAATGAAAATGAGTATGGAAGTTGATCAAAAAGCTCAACATAAGCAAACCACAGGACCCAGCAATTGCACTCAGTTTTAGCAACTGAACGATGAAAACTTATGTTCACAAAAAAATTTGTACATAAATTTATTCAGCAGCTTTATTCATAACAGCTCCAAACTAGCAACAATACGTAAGGCCTTTGACAAGTGAATGGCTAAAAACATTGTGGTGCATTCATAGCATGGGAATACCGCTTGACAACAAAAACGAACAATTATTGATCCACGTAACAACTTGAATGGATCTCAAGGAATTATGCTGAGTAAAAAAAGCTAGTCTCAGAAAGGTTACATATTTTATGATTCTATGTACGTAAGATTCTTGAAAATAAAATGACAAAATCATAGAAATAGAGAACAGATTAGTGGTTGCCATGGGAAGTGGCTGTGGTTATGAAAGGTAGCATAAGTGATCCTTATTGTGGAATTGTTTTGCTTTTTGACTGTGGTGGAGTCTTGTGAATCCACACTTAATGATAAAATTGCATAGAACTAAACAAACACAAATGAATGTCCGTCAATCTAAAGAAGGTATACAGATTTTATTAATATAAATGTCCTGCTTGTGATATTGTATTACAGTTATGTGAGATGTTAGAAAAACTGGGTATATTATTTCTGTATTATTATTATATATTATATCTTACAACTATGTGTGAATCTACAATTATCTCAAATTTTAAAGGTTTAAAACATAGATCTTTGGAGATTTTTACTGGTAATCATGAGGTTTTTCTCTACTGGTTTATATTACTAGATTTTTGATGATGAACTACCCATCACATTTTAGAATAAAGCCCAATGGCTTATGGCACATTCATTTTTCTCTGTACTGCTAGATTTGATTGATTTGATCTTCTAATATGGTTTAGGACTTTTTACACCCATATGCACAGATTAAACTGTGTTTTGTTTTTGTGTTGTACTAGCTTTGCAAAAATAACTGGGAAACTTTCTTTTTTTGTGCTCTGATTCAGTTTATATACTTTGAAACTTTTTTGAAAAAACTCACCCCTAATGACATCTGGACCTAGAGCATTTCATGAGGTAATTCCTTGAAAACAGTTCCAATTTCTTCCATGTTTATTTTTATATTCAATTTTTCAACTTTTTTCATCCAATTTTGTCATTTTATATTTTCTTAGATTCTTCAATATTTCCAAATGTATTAGTATGAAAGGTTACATTTGATATTCAATAATAATTTTATATCATCTGTTTATGTGGTAATAGATTATATCTCAATTCCATCCCACTCTAACTAAAACTTGTGTGTTCTTGTATTTTCAGTTTTAGTTTTCCATGTGACTTCTAAAATCACTTGACACCATTTTGGTGTATGGAGTCTTGTAGAGTTCTTAATTCTAGTAATACATTGACCAACAACACCATGTATGTATATAAAAATAGACATAGAAATAGATACATTTATATATTTGTCACTGTCTACCACAATAAATTCTATTTGGATAAAAACTTGGAATAGAGAAAAAAAGATGAAGAAGAAGTTAAAAAGTTTTTGTAGAATGTAATTTACTTGAACTCTAGTTGGGGGCTTTTCTAAGCATCAAAACAAAGGAGAAAACAAAAGAAAGATTGCACATTTAAATGAACCAAAAAGTTCTAAAACATATGTATATTAAAACAATATAGACATTTCAATAAATCACTCTGGAAAAAATAGACATCTATAGACCCCAAAAGTAAACTTTATCCATATATCTCAACATTGGAAAAAATTAACTCCAACTGTTATAGTCCTAAATGTAAAATGTATAAAATTATACAACTTTCAGAAGAAAACACAAGAGAAAACCCTGTGATTGTTTTAGACAAAGATTTCTTAGATACAACAGTAAAATCACTATCTAAAAAAGAAAAAAAAACCTGAGAAATTGGAGTTCATCAAAATTAAAAACTTTCTCTGTCTACAAGATCCTATTTTTAGAAAAGAAGGACAAGCCATACATTGGGAGAAAATATTTTTAAAATATACATATGAAAAAAGACTAAGTATTCGGAATATAAAGAAGTTTCAAAACTCAATAATAAGAAAACAAAACAATCAATTAAAAATGGGGAAAAGATTTGAATAGACACTTCACTACAGAGGCAGATAGATGGCAAATAAGCCCATGGAAAGATGCTCAACATCATTAATGATTAGGGCATATCAATTAAAACCACAATGAGATACCACTACATACATATTAGAATGGCTAAAATATAAAAAACTGATCATTGTAATTGTTGAGGAGGATGTGGAGGAACTAGAACTCTCATACTCTGCTGTTGCAAATGTAAAGTTATACAAGTATTTAAAATATTTGGCATTTTTTAAATAAAGGTAAACAAATTCCTGCCACATGTTGCAGCCATCTTTTCTAGGTGTTTATGATATAAAATGACAATGGAGACATAAGTCCACAAAAAACTTGTACATGAATGTTCATCCCGGTTTATTTGTAACAGCCCAAATCTGGAAACAACCCAAATATCCATCCTGTTTTATGGATAAACAAAATGCAGTGTATTCATACAATGGAAATCTATTCAATAATAAAGAATCATGGACTCTTGATATATTTACAACAATATGGATGCTTCTCAAATCATTATGTGTATTCATATTGCATGCCTAACATTTAAGTCATCCCTCAGACCTGTTCTGTTGATAATGCTCCTCAGATTAAAATTGCCAAGTGAATAAAATCAGCATTCCTGGGGAGAAATCAGTTTTGTGATCCTCTACAGTCTGGAAATGCTCTCCCTCTTACAAAGCTCTTTTCTCCTGATACTGCTTTATTCTTCTGAACCAAATTTTCCTTTCTGCTTAAGTCACCCTTGAAATATATTTTTCTGTCCATGGACAACTCTACATTTTCATTCTTAGCAAAACAAATATCGTAGTTTCAATATCTTTCTTCAAAAAAAATCATGTTTAAAATCAAGCAGTTCGAGTTTCTCCATGTGAAATCACTTTTTGTAAATACATTTGGCCCTTTGTATCTGAGGCTTCTGCATCCACGAGATCCGCATCTGCGGGTTCAACCAACCCCAGAGGAGAAACACAGTGTCGAAGGGTTGGAACCCACAGATATGGAGGGCCAAATTTTCCTATCTGTGGGTTCCGAAGAACTCACTACGGATGTGAACATTCATGGATTTTAATGTCAGTGGAGTTAGGAGGATGTCCTGAAACTAACCCCTTGTGGAGACCAAGGGATTACTACAGAGAAGTGCATCATTTTAGGATTCTTGCTTGATTCGTGTTGGTTTATCCCTGTTGCTTCCACCTGCCTCTATATCATTCCTTTATTCAACAAGCATTCAAAAGATCCTTTCTGTGTGCAGTCAACTATTCTAGATTATATGAATACAAAGTAGACTCAAACAGGATTCTGTTTTCTGAAGATGGGATCGTCCGTCTCAATTGAGACACAAGGATAGCACCAATGCCCGGAAAGCTTGAAAAGGATAGTGGGGTTTTTGGTCCCAAAGGGTTCTATCCCCTAGACTTTGAATGCTATGAACGATCCACCAAAATGTCCAAATATCCAGGAAGTGTTTCATAAGAGAAATACAACACACATGGAAGAAAAACACATCTAATATGTATCACTGAGCACAAAGATATGCCTCAAAGGTAGGCTGAAGAAGGCTACCTTAGTCTTGGAGCGTCCCACCATAATCTCCCTTATGTCCCCTGCAACATGGCACCTGGCTGAGATCCAATGATAAAGGATTCTTTGATTTCTGGTTCTGGAAGTATGGTAAATTAGATAGCATGAATGGCCTCCTGGCACAGATAATGAAAAGCCAAATATAATTTAATGAAGATTCTTTTAAATATGTGAAATATGAGTTCTAAAATGTAAACTCAGCAGGTGCCAGAAATAAAGACAGTGGGATAGTATATTAAGCAGACTAGTAGAACATAACTAAATTGTCAGTATAGAATTTCAAATATCGATAATCACTTGATACTAGGTTTGAAATTCAGACATTTCGAGACCAAGATTCTGATTGTTTATCATTCACAGGCATCACTGAAGAAGGGTTACCTCAGGAATAAACATTTAAACCCCAAAGAAAGTAGAAAGATGCAAAAGAGAATTTAAAATCATGCAGACAAAATCATCCATAAAAGTATAATAATGGAAAGAAGAAAACAGGTATCAAGGCTTATGATAAAGCTATAGTGACTGAAGCATAGTGCTACTCATGGATAGTTACACAAGTAGACCACTGGAATAGAACCAGGAGCTCAGGGACAAAGTGCACACACCCATACACACGGGAGCTCAGTACAGCACAACGAAAGCTGAGCTGGGATGCCAGATAAGGAAAGGGACAAGGGACTTGTTAATAAGAGGTGCCAGAACCACAGGGAGAAAAAGATACAGAAAAGATAAAATTAGATCCCTACCTCACACTATTGGCAAAAATATATTGCATATGATGTATTTTAAAAGTAAAATCAAAACTAAATATTTCAGGAAAAAATAAGAGAAATATTTTTAACATTGAATTTAATAAACTATCTTAAATTATAATAAAAGATACTACAAGAAATGATTGATTCATTTGTCTTCATTTTTAAAACTACATAAAATATAAGTTCAAAAGACAAATTTAAACAAAAGCCTACATAATCATTAAAGAATTTGCACCCATGATATCTTAAAAATATCTTCAAGTAAAAAAAAATATATGTAAGCCTTAAACATCAGTAGGTATATGAAAGAAAATACATTGACAAGTCTAAATTAAGGGAAAGTGGCGATGTGATTTAGTGGAAAGAACACAGGCTTTGGGGTCAGGCTGACTTGGAATTAACACCACATTAACAGTGTCTCCGAACTGTGATGGAATGGAGCTTCTAAGCCTGAATGACTTTATCAGACAAAATGGGGACCACAGTACTTCATCAGATTGTTTGGAGGGAAATTATGACCATTATGATATTTTATTCATTTAGCAAACACTTTCATAATGGTTACCATGTACCAGGGCCATAAGTCCTGCTATTGTTTTCTATTTTAGAGACAAAGAAACCAAGGCAGAGGGAGTCTAAGGAATTTATCCAAGTTCATACAATTAGTAAATGGCATGTCTCAAATTCAAACCCAGAGTGTTGACTCGGACGTCGGAGCATGTGCCCCTAACATACTCTCAATATGTGTGTGTGTGTGTGCACATATATGTACATACACACACACACCTATGTATCTATGTATGCACTATCAAGATTAGTGCAGGTTTGTAGATTATAATTTTTTTTAATTATAAGGTTTTGGAGATTTGCTCTATGAAAATGTTATGCATTTTTGATTTGCAAAATGGCTTTTTGAAGTCATTTGGGGGTTTTGCTCTGGCAGTCTAAAATGTTCCTCTTAAGAAATATATACACAGTTGTCTCAAAAAATATTGTTATCAAATTAGAATCAATAAGAGTTGAGTCTAAAAGATCAGATTTTATTTTTCTTAAAAAAGAGAAGTTGGCAATTTACGTTAGTAATTTAGTGGAAAAAAAATTCCCCTTTTCTTTATTAAAAGCAGAAAGCATACTTTTGAGGGATTTTTTTTCCAGCTTTCTAAATGAGCTTGTGTGGACAAAAATCCTCGGAGTATAGACAGTACATATACAAGGCGATTAGCCATAGAGTAGAGGTGTTTTTCAGCCCTCTCCTCCCCATCCCAAGGGTCCAGTCTGCTCTCTGGTCTTCACCTCCAGGTCATAAATGTCTTAGTGGTACCTGACTTCCTTTCCCTCCCTACCTCCTGCAACCTGGGAAATAATTTGGAGTCTTTGTTCAAACTTTAAATACAACCTTTACATCAATTGTTAAAGCTCGTAGATATTTGACTTGTAATAGCATTAACTGTGATTTGTAGGATGAATGTCTTTTTTTTTTTTTGCCTTGTCAAAAAAATTTAGGCAATTTTGAGCTGATGGAGCCTAAATATAGAGATCTACTCTTGACTCTGAGACAAGATTGAAACATAGTTTGTTCGTGTGTGTGTGTGTGTGTGTGTGTGTGTGTGTGTGTAGGGAAGTGGAGAGGATGTCTTAGAAGGCATAGAACATATCTGGGCCAGCACCTTCTCCTGCTGTAAACATGATCCCTCTCCTTTGCTCCCAAGATGCCTGGATGCTAGGGATGTGGTGTCCATGCCTGTGAGGTCACATATCTCCTGTGTGCCCCTGTCCTGTCAGCATCAGGGCCAGGCTCTGGTCCCCAGGCAGCCTTGGAAGGAGCAGTGCCCGGTGAGGACGTTCCCACAGCAAGGCCTCTCCTCTGCAGATAAGACGGGAGGGGCAGGGTGGGGGCCGCGGACGCCCAGGCTTGCTAGAGACGCTGGGGAGCCACAAAGTAAGAAGACAAATCACATCTCTGACTATTTATAGCTCTTTCTGTGAACAGCTTTCATTCTTCCTAATTACCTTGCAGCACCATAATGAGCATATATGCTGCGCCGTCCAACGTGTCAGGTTAACAGTGTGGGGTGTTCTTCCTGCCTACAGTGTAAGCAGGACATGGATGATTGTTTTCTGTCATTTCCCACCCTCTCTCCCTCATGTGTGCGCAAGCAGAGGTCAAAAATGGGATATAGCACAGTTGTTAAGAACGTGCATTCTGAGTCAGAAAGGCCTGCGCTTGCATTCTACTCTACGTCTTAGTGTGTGACATTCGAAAGTTATTTAACCTACCTTAGTTTTCTCATCTGCAAAACAAGGATAATAGTAAGTACCTCAAAACATTGTTGGGAGAATTAATAGAGACAATGCATGCTAAGTGCCTGGTGCATACAAAGTACCCAATAATAATAGATACTATCAGTAGCAATCATAAGAACTCCTTTTGCAGGATTATATGAAACAGTCAAAGAAACGATTCCCTATTTAGCGATAGATCTTAAAATGGAATGTGATTAAACTATAAACTCATTTAAACCACTATGTGATTAAAGAAAGGACTGGCCAGAATTGGAGGATCAAAAATAAGGAAATATACTGAATTCCTAAAATTTAAATTTAGTGATTTGGTTAAAGTTGCCTAGAGAAGTGACTCACAATGGAGGAGAAGTTTTATCCATGCAAAGACAGAACTGATTCTTAATTTAAGGCAGTTTTAGCATTATGATCGGTACTAATTCATGTTTTCTGGGCAATTGATATTTGTTGTAACTTATGCCTTTTTTTTCTAACCCCATAAAAGATGAGATTTCTAAATAAAGAAATGCTCATAGGGAGGGAAACAATCAAGAAAACCAAGGGTTAGGATATAAATTGCCAATGGAATAAACCAGTTACTTGCATTCACAGATACAGTGTCCTACAGTTAGACAGAATCCATTATTCATAGGTTAATTTATTGGAACAAAGTTTGGCACTGCAATTTTCCCTCATAACTGCCCATATGAACCATTGGGTCATTTTTCCTTCCTAAAAATCAGGATGCATAAAGGAAGACATGGAAGGGATAGGTAAAGGTGAAGCGGATGTTCATCTAACATTTTTGTTTTAAAAGTAGAAAGAACAGAGATTTCTGTAGCTTGTTTGAAAAGCTAAAACTTTCAGCTCTCTGCCAACAACCACAGCTGAAACTGACAAGGCCTGACATCTCCTCTGCTTTTCCTACTCCCATTTTCTATGAAAATACTGTAGACACTGGATCAGGAAAGACAGTGGAGGCTTAAAATAATCACTCTTTCAATTTGCCCCCTGTTAGTTTCCATAGGAAACAAAAGTGGGAACTGTAGCCGGCAGCAAGCAACTGTCTTGTTAGAACCCTTCCTTGTCGATTCAGCTGTGGCTGTTGGCTGAAATCTGAAAGTGGCATTTTTCAAAAGGCCCTTTGGCTTCTGAATCTATGGAGTTTTCACTTTGGAAAGCAATAAAAACGAATGGAAAAAAAAAGTGAAAATTACTTCCAACACCAAGTTTTCATATACCTTAGAATACTATTTTTCATGCAAAGAACTTTTCATTTCTCTACCTAGTAGTTTATGTATGAGAGCTGAAACCCATTTTATACAAGCGAAAAGATACATCAGAAAAATGAAACTGCATCTTTGGAAGGTTAAATCCTGGGTCTTGGATGTGTGCTACCTTAACTGTAAACCTTATCGTGTGAAATTGCTTACATAAACATTCCATTTAGGGAGGGAGCTCAGTTTCCACTGGGACACTATCCTAGCTTCCTTCCTATTTTACAAACACATTCCAAGTTGCTGGATAGGCTTCCACAGAAGAAAGGTAGGGAGAATTCACAGAAAACACAGCCAGCTACAGAATTTAAAATTGTTTTTAAAAATATATTTAGGAAAGAATATGATTCAAAACTTTATAATGAAACAAGACTCAAGTACTAATTCTTTACACAAGTTTAAAAATAAAGACGCCACAAAATCATCCTGTGGGGTGATGCTTTCACCGGGGAAAAAGCATTATACAAGCATGCATCATTATAAATTTTAGTAAAGTGCAGTAGTAGTTCCATCTTAGATAAAAAGTATTATCAAAAATCTGTGAGGTTTGAAAATATCACGCAAAGGTAACTCTAGCTGATATGTCAGGGCTTCTCTGCTGTTGTCATCAATCTATAATATGTTCCTTTAAGAGGAGGCAACCCCACTTTATTGGAAGAAGACGGGTGGAAAAAATATAAGGTGGAAGAGATTCACTATACATATTTACCCAATTTAAGTGGAGAGTAATCCCTCAGATACATGCTTAAACCAAAGAGTAAGCTATCAAATACCCTCAAGCATGCTATCTATCTGTGAAAACCTATGCACTTTCACTTTCTTTTTGATTTTTCACCTGCAACATCAACAAGAACCAAAGCAAAAGGATGTAGCTCTGATTATTTTTTAAACTCTGACATCAAAGCGCATTATAGTTTTCACATTTAAAATGTGTGTGTGTTTTTTTTTTTTACTTTTGAATATTTAATACCTAAAAATAGTGCTCTTTAACTCACTTCCTACTCCCATCACCTGGGGGCATTAGTGTTCACATATCTTGCCTTTTCTTTCCTTTTTTAATCAAAGAAGAGGCCATTTTTCATACACATTTGTATATTTCTCTGTTTTAGGGAATTTTTTTTAAAAAATAGTCAAGGCTTGAGGTTGGAGCAGAGCTGAATATCAAGATTGGCATGTGAGAGAGGTCTTGCAAATTGGAAGTTGCAGATTTAAAAGGAACAGATAATGCTGAAGGAAAATTACTCTGCTTAAATACATCAGGAGTCTGGTGTTTCTTTCAGGGAGTTGCTGAACAGTGTGTGTATCGGTAGGATTGTGATAATGGGAACACTGTTCAGCTTGCCTACTCTTCCTTCATAACTCATTAATGCCTTTGCCATAGGTTCTTTATGGGGCATCCATTAGAAGTGTACACTAATAATAGTTTAATCCCACTACACCCAATTATATATCCCCCTTAACCAATGTCCACCTCCCTTTCTCTCTCTTCCTCTGAATTATGTCTAATAAAATAGAATATGCTAGCAAAGAGGATTAAAAAGACAACAAACCTCTCCTTTCCCAACATTAAAAATTACAAATAGTAACCATAATGCAACAAAAATAGCCAGAGAGTGGGCAGAAGTGGATAATGATGAGCAGAGGGGAGCACCCGTCCATCACCCCACCTCCTATCATTAATAACACCACACCTGACAAAAGAAAAGATAATGCCTGCTGGAACAAAACTACATAAGCACCCAATATTTTATTAAACAACCCATTTTAGAACTTAAATCATTAAACCACATCTCCATGGGCTCTTCAGAAGGACTGTCTGAGAAAAATAATGGATTGTCTGTAAACTTTTATGTTAGCTATTGCCTCTAGAGTTGTGCTTTTTAATTATTAAAATGTAGTATTAATGAAACATGCAATCGTGCAAGGAAAACTACTTTTATCATTGCACATGAAAGGCAAAAATTTAATATACAGAGTATACTGTATACACATTACAAATGTATTTGCATCCACCTTCCAAATAGCAAGCACCCCAAACTTCCCCCTCCCCTCCTTTACAGCTGCTCAATCTGCAAGAATGTGCAGAAGTAATTTATCTGAAATGGCCACTATTGTTCTTGATTCTGATTTGATTCCAAAAAAGCCAAATAATAGAAACCATTTTGAACATCTATTTTGTGCACCTGTTGTGCTGCATTATGCTACTCTGCCATTTCCATTTACGTCACATCTCTTGACATGCCTTTCATGCACCGTGCTGCTTTGCTCAACAAAAAATCCAGGATGCTAGAAACCCATGCCATTCTTATTTTATTAACAAAATGGCAATGGCAAATGCTATTGGATGACGGCTTTGGATGCAAACAGGAGTACATCAACTTAACTCCTAGCCAGGGTGAATTTCACTCATGTTAAGTAGATTTAAAACAACTGAACAGCCTGAGGGGACTCCATAAAAGTATAAGATGTTAATATTGTTAATGATTCTGTTACGTGGGCAAAACGGTAAGACTTTGGTAGTTTCATACTTTTCTTGTTGCTTTGGTCCTAGGATCCAATGTGAGTTGAGAAACTGACTAGTTTCTTTTACTCCACTGTATGTGTGGCCTGGTTTCTTTGGGGATCCTGCAATTGCTATTTTTTAACTGTGGACCCTCACCTTAATTTTTATGTCAATATTATAACTGTGGCACTTTCAAATATTTCCTTCTAGTTTCTTAGCTTCTCTGTGTAATGACACCACAATTACAGTGACACCACAGACTCACAGTGACCAAAAAGTTTTAGTTGTGAGACTTCATCTGCAAGTGGACCTTAAGCTTTGCATAGCATCGACAGACACACAGATTTTGAAGCAATCAAATACCCAAGCCTCCTTTGCTGTCTGTCAGGTCCATTATCAAGCACCTTTCAAACTGTGCAGATACTGTCAATGCTCAGGTGTGTACAGACACGTTTACTCTATCAAATGACCATAATGACAAGACTTTCCGGCACTGAGATGTTATGGTACCTCTTTAAGGTATCGGGAAATCTGGTAGGCTTCTTCAGTGGCATTAATGAATCACATAACGTGGCTCTTTTAAAAAAATCTGACAATGATGAAAATTATCTGACTCACAGAATCTTAGCATGAGAAGGGACCTGTGAGGTCAAATCTGGCTCTGTCCTAACGTGGGGATCAATCCCTTCTTCAACATCCTTGACAGATGTTCTTCCAGGTTCTGTCTGAACTTTCCACTGAAGGGCAAACACCTGCTTAACAAAGCAATCTGCTCTATTTGTAAACAGCCCTAATTGGTAGGTAGTTTTCCTTTACTTTGAGCTTGAAATCTGGTCCTTGAAGCAGAACTGACTAACATGCAGAAAAGGTGATGCTGCCCATGACTGGCTTCATGGGTGTGGGACTTCTGCAGTCACGCAGGGCCCCATGCTGGGTTTAATGCTTTAGCATGACTGTCTTGAAACTCTTCATCATTGTTGAACAAGGGGCCCCACATTCCCATTTTGCGCTGGGCCCACAAATTTTGCAGCTGATCCTGACTCCAACTACGATTTAAGATGGGGGACTGTTAATGCTCTTTCAGGAGCGCTGATGTTATTTTTTTTTGGTCACATGTATATCTTGTCAGCAAAATTACATAATCTTTTTTGCACGTATTTGCAAAGCAGTTTTTAACTAGTGAATTTTATCCACTCTTGTGTGCTTCCTCCCTTGCATCTGCCTTCATCCATTTCATTGACTGTGGTGCCATGGTGGGGCAGGAATACAAAACTTGACTAAACCGTAGTCTCTGACGTTTAGTATTATTAAGCTTCTTCTTGCCTCACTTTTGAGATGCTGACTCAAATCCTCCCTTGTTAACCAAAAGTAGAAGGACATATTTTGACTAAGTTAATCAGAGGATAAGCTAAGAAATAGCATGGAGTCAAAACACTTTGTTTGAATGCTGATTCATGCTACTTACTGGTTCTGTGACTTTGGAAATGACACTTAGCTTGAATGCTTCCCTTTCCTCATCTGTAAAGGACAGACAGCCACACCCGGCCTGCCTATGACAGAGGGCCTCCTCTAAATTTGAATGAGAGGACTGCAATGTGGAGTAAGCTGAGGCTTTGCTGACCTTTGATGTAGGGTTTCTCAGGGATCAGCCTAGAGGCCAGCACATTTCAAAGGCCACAGAGACACACCTTGGAACGAACTCTTATCAGTTGGAGATGCTCACAGTGAATGCCGGCCTTGTCTTACTTCTTTGTTTTGCCAGCTGCTATTCAGATACTGCATATTACCACGCAAGCAAATGGAAGCCATTCCAGGAAGACTTCAAGGAGGAGCAAAGCTACTAGAACCTTTGTGGATACTAAGACCCACGCATGGGTTTGTGAGTGAGTCCTTTAAAGCTTTAACAGATGTTGGTAAAAGGATCCAATAGAGAGAAAGCACAATTCATGCCAACTGCAGCCAGGGCTGTTTGTGGTGTATCTAAGCGGGGGTGGAGCATACATGAGTCACAGGGAGAAGTTAGAATTCCAAGAGATCGCTGGAACATAAAGGATGTCCTGAAAAATAAACTCTAAACACTCTACCTGTCAACAAAACAATCAGTATGGGGGTATCTCTAATTTCCACTCCAAAAGATGACATCAAAATTTTTATGGGGCATGAATATTCTGTTCCCATTTGAAGGCCTACTTCAGCAAGTATGATGGAAAATACATTAAGTGGTAATGATTTTCAAAATATATTTTTATGAACAAGTTTATTATGAAATGTGAACTGTATTGATGCATAGCTTCAACTTAACTTTTCTTTTACCAGTCGGTTAAATAAAACTAAGCTATAATTAAATCAACTTATTTTTTGTTAATAAAAATTGAACATTTCTTAAAAGGTAAAAATAACATCCGTGTGCTTTGAAATTGAAATTATGTTTACATATAAACTAATATCATCTTAAAAAGTATATTACAAAGTTCAGATCTAGGAAAAAAATTATCTCCTTGATTGAACATAAGAAGTAAGCATTTGGAAGTGTTAATACTGGATATATCCATTGTGAAGGTAAATTTGAGTGACTGAAATATTTCCAGGAGTGTTGCTTTTTCTGCAGTGAGGCTTGTTGGTTTTGTTTCAGATAAATAACATTACTTAGATTCCGTATTTTGACTTTAAGATTCCCTAACTGATGATCTTGGAATTTCTCAGAATGTGAGCACACACGCATTCTTTAGGAGGCTGGAATCTTGACCAAAAGCAATTACTTTTTTTTTTTTTTGAGACAGAGTCTAGCTCTGTCACCCAGGCTGGAGTGCAGTGGCGCTATCTCGGCTCACTGCAAGCTCCGCCTCCCGGGTTCACGCCATTCTCCTGCCTCAGCCTCCTGAGTAGCTGGGACTACAGGCGCCCGCCACCACGCCTGGCTAATTTTTTGTATTTTTAGTAGAGACGGGATTTCACCATGTTAGCCAGGATGGTCTCGATCTCCTGACCTCGTGATCCACCCTCCTCAGCCTCCCAAAGTGCTGGGATTACAAGCAATCACTTTTATGAAAGCAAACCACTTGCTTTCTTATTTTGAAAAATTTAGCTTGTCACCTAGGCACCTCTTTTGTCAGCTTGGCCAAGAATGGAAAACAGATGTGGATGTGGTGTTTTTGCACTTCCTCTCCAGTTTGGTCTCTCTTTGGCTTATGATGTGGAAACTGCTGCGAGCCTTGGCACACTCAGAGGGTAGTGCAGTCACAGCGCCGCTTTCTGGAGGTTGGCCGCAGCCTTGTGGTCAGGACACGTTGTCAACTGCTGGGCACCTTGATCTCAGAGCAGAGGTAACAGTTGATCTCAAAATATCATTCCTGATAAATAACCACCAATGTGGGGCTTGTTTTAAGCAACAAGTTTAAGCAATAGGCTGAATGTGGCCAGGCGTGGTGGCTCACACCTGTAATTCCAGCACTCTGGGAGGCTGAGGTGGGTGGATCATGCTGAGGTCAGGAGTTCAAGACCAGCCTGGCCGAGATGGCAAAACCCCATGTCTACTAAAAATTACAAAAATTAGCCAGGCGTGGTGGCACGCACCTGTAATCCCAGCTACCTGGGAGGCTGAGGCAGGAGAATTGCTTGAACCTGGGAGGTGGAGGCTGCACGGAGCTGAGATCACACCACTGTACTCCAGCCTGGGCAACAAGAATGAGAGTCCATCTCAAAAAAAAAAAAAAAAAAGGTAATAGTTTGCATGTAAGTGAACTCTGAAACATATATTTCCTTGTGTATAACCACAAGTTTCTGAGGAAATTTTCCCCCCAAAGGGAAAAAAAAAGATTTTTTTTTTTTTCTGGAAAATATTCGTTTCATGTGTGAAACTAGTTGGTAGGAGTTAGGTATTTTTATTGACTGACTTAGCTTGCCGAAATGTGTAATCAAGAAAAAACATTAAACTCATATGAACAGAAAGAATTCATTGTGGGGAGGAAATGGGAAACCAGAATGGCCCACGGAACATGTAAGATACAATTGTAATCTCTTCTCTTAACTCTCCTGCTTCATGCACACACACTTGTCAAAGGAGAAATGGAAGCCCTGCATTATGCTTATCTCTTCTTGCCCCAAATTACTTTCTCTGTAGACTAAGGATTACTTCTGTAACCATTGGCTACTAGGCAGGTAGAGCAGAGGTGAAGGAAGAAGGGGCCTGTTGGCATTCGGCCTCACAGAGAAGACCATTTTACTTAATAGATACTTCCAGGACACAAGCTGTCTCTGCCCTCAGCTTGATGTTTCGACTCTCCGGTATCACCTCAAGATATGAGAGGCTATGGGGTGCTGCGTGTCTGATTTTCATCACTCACGTCTCTGGCTCCTCCCATCCCCTCAGATCAACAATTTATATACAGGTATGCCTTAGCTCATGTCATAATTTTTCTGGCTTTCTTTTGAAGCTAGATATTCTTATTTAACCCAGAATAATAAAGTATTCTGAAAAGACACTATCTAATACCATGTGGATCTAATATTCTTTCCCACTTTGTTATTACTGACAGAAGGCCTATCAAAGAGCACAAAATAATATTTCATTAAAATGAGAGGATATAACTGCATCTGCTCTAACATCATAATTTTCAGACATGTTCCCATTAAATTCAAGACCCTTTTCTGAAGTTGACTTGCAGGTATTGAGACGGGCTCCCTGGGGAACAAAGGGAAATGCCTACTCTTGAAGCAACCACTGATATTAACCTTTGTAGGACTCCGGAACATGGCAGGGTTTGTATCAATTACTAATCAGACCTGTTTTCTCTCAATTCCAAACTCTCTTTTTCATCTCCCGTTCCCTCTATACCTTTGTCTTTCAGGAATGAGAAAACATATACACCCACAAATATCCTGATAGGCATCTTATTACAAAGTCACTTGGTAGCCACTCTAATTTTTACTTTACTGAAAGTCAGAGTGCCACATGACATGAAATATTGTTTTTTGTTAAGACTCAGAAAGATGTCAGTTGTTCAGGTGGAAAGCGTATCTTGGGAACGTGTTTGTTGCCAACATAACTGCCTCGTTGGGGTTCCTATCGAAGTGTTTGGAAGGCTGCTCCTGATGAAAAGCAGAGGAGATATTTTTAAACCCTTCCGTTCATCACCTGGGCGAAGCCTGATCTGTGTGGGACAGGCCCGAGTGGCTTTGCTTCCCCTCTCTCCCCAGGCCGCACGGAAGCTTGAGCCTGTAAAGGCAACCAAGGTGAACTCACTCATTCCACACAACGGGGTGGATCTTTCACCACAGGGTGTTCTTGATAGTGCTCTGTCCACTCTAATTTTAAACATCTAAGCAATCGGAGTCCCACCACTTCCCTTGGAAGATTACCCTACAGTCTAATAGACCTCAACATTAAGAAGATGTTCAATTGGTAATAGGTAATCAACCTAAATTTCCCCTTTCTTAATTTCATCCCATTACTCTAAACCCTATCCCCTTGTTTCACCTAGTTCCTCACCTTCATTAGTGTTTACGCTCTCCAAATACTAATAGATAATAGATAGCTGGTAAGAAAAAAACACTTTCAGTCATCATTTAGCTGGCCCATAAATAGTTACTGCTTCTTTGAAAAATATGTCAGTTCCAAAACATATTGTTTTCCTTTAAAACCTTCTTTAATATTGAAAGATTCAAGGATTTTTTTTTTAATAAGCATAAATAGTCTGGAAGTGAAACGCACAGCAGTCTGTAATGGACTAGAGGGGATTAAATGCATCCTTAATGTGGGCGGGTGATAATGGTACAGCTACATTCACCTTCTTTTGCCCTTTGCACAGACACAGAACAAACCATTGAAACAATGGGATGAAGCCTTCTCCCCTACAGTAGTCTATTTCTATATTCATTCTTCTATTTTACCTATCTACATATATATGTATGTATGATAGTACTAACAATTTGTGTTACTCTATAATACATAAAACATTACAAGGTGGACTTTCAAGTGAGGACCAAGCCTTGTTTTATGCCTTATTAATCACACTACCTATTCTTTTTCAATTACCAATTGGGGTTCCTTCGAAGTGTTGGAAGGCTGCTCTGGATGAAAAGCAGAAGAAATATTTTTAAACCTTCTCCTCATCACTTGAGCAACACCTGATCTGTGTGAGGCAGGCTGGGTGGCTTTTCTTTTCCTCTCTCCCCAGGAGAGAAATTTGATTTAATAGCACTGTCTAAAGACCATGTTTTAGTAGCGAAACTTCAAAATAATTTATGTTTTAAAAATTGAGGTTTCTCTTCATTTTCCTTGAGTATCCCAAAACTCTCGCCTTGGTCTCTATGTAGGAAATAATTAGATCCTGATTGTGTCTAGATCTCTATAGTAGTGGCTTGGTTCTGCCTTTATTCTTCAATGTTATGATACTGCTTGATTCTTTTGAGTTTATCTTGAATTCTAAGTTAGTTTTCTGCTTACAGTCAATCTGATACATGTTTTACATGAATAAACATACCAATAGAATAGAAGAAACATTGCATAACTTTTGGAAAGTTACTCTATGGACAATACCCTAAAACACTTAATTCTGTAAGATGACATCCTTGTGTTATAAACTATTGGCATTCCTGAAGGCATTTATGTGCCTTTCTAGAAAATGTCTGGTTGAAATAGTGAACATTTACAACCGTTACCAAATTCAACAACACTTCAGTTTTAGTATGTGGGCACAAGTCCAAGACTAAGTGAGCATTCACCATCTCTATTCTTCCTTCCTTAGACTACACAGTGGAAGTTCTCAAATGTTATACTGATTTGTGAGAATTTTTCTCACACGTTCATAGGTAGCATAGAATACGCTTAAGTTGAAAACAACAGAAGTGAACTCTCACAAACTTAAGCAGAAGGGAGGATATTGACTAAGATAACACTGTGGCATTTCAAGGAACTCGACATGAGTTGACCAACCAGGCTGTGGAAGGAGAAGAAAGGCAGCTGGCTTCTAGGTCTTCTGGAATAAGAAATAAAATTCATGTGTCTTCTGCTGTGCTGATGTGAATGCACTCAGTTTCAACAAGCCCCTGCAAGTGGCCTTCTATGTTTCAAATTTTAAATTTCTCAGAGAGAGAAACTGGTTCTGTTTGGGCCCCTGTTGAGCGTGGTCCATGAACTAGGCCAGGGATTTAGACTTGAGATATTGGCAGTACTACTGGGACCAGCTTTTGTGCATCAAATATCCCTTCAAGAAATAGAGACATAGCTGTGAGAAATCCATACACTGCAGGCACCTTATCCTCTGGAGTTAGAGTTATATTGCATGGTAGGTACTGAAGAAGATTAATGTGACTTATTGCAACCAATACTTGTTTGATGCTCAGATTGGCATATGAAGTTTCTAACATTTCCTTGGATCACTGATGGCAGACATTTAAGTGAAAATCTAGGATCTTTTAAGTGTAGCTGGGTTACAGAATTTCTATCACAATACCTCTTGTATATAAAATAAAAATAAAATTTTTTTTTTTATATTGGTTGCAGCTTATCTAGGCTCCTTCCCAAGCCCTCAATCAGTAGTGAATGAGGTAGAGAAGAGAAATTAATTAAATTCCCATCAAGTTTGGAGCTGTCAGGCCTGATAATTTAAGCTGTCTTTCTCAGTTGGTGTTCATTCTTCCATTTGGATAAAATGCCCAATCTCTTATGTATTCACCCCCCTGCTTCTTCCCCTAAGATGATGTCCTGGTGTGTGAGGAAAGGTGAATGCAATTAATGGATCCTACTGGCTATGAGAGTAAGTAGGACTTCTCAGATTCATGTGGAGCCCTTGCATTATCTTCTGACACTCCCGTTGCTGAATCCACTTCCTATCTGATCTCTAGAAGCCTGCTTGCATTCCTGGCCACAGTCTGGAGCTGGTGAGCTCATGGTCCTTTACTTTGGCTTGCATAGAGTGATAGGGAAAGAGTATGCAACTCCTCCTGTGGCTGTGGTCTTGGCTCAGGTCTCTTTGTCTGTAGAATTCTGAGTCCCCGCCATGAGTTCAATCCAGCTCACTGGCCAGAGGTCCATCCCCAGTGGCTGCTGTGGCGCTGTCTTATCCTGACAGCAGCACCCATGCCTCAACTAACCAAGAGTAGCCCACGAAGCTTAACCAGAGGGCCTCTCTCTGCCTAAATATGTGACAAGGACAATGGCCATTTTGATGTGGGCTTTGTAAGAAAGGTTGGGTTAATTCTTACATGTTTTGAGGACAAGCACTTATGAAGACTATCTAGGCTATCAGCTTTTTCCAGGCTTTAAGATTTGCTGGACATGTCCATGAGATGAAATACTGAGGTCTAAGATTATTTCCATGTGTGGACAAGACACACTTTACAGAATTTCTCTGATGAGATGATACAACTTGTGATCTGATAGGTCAAGTAGAAGTCTTCTCTCCCACAGTAAAATTAGATTTGAAATTGTTCAGTGACTAATCTCACCCCAATACCTGCCCTAATCTGGTGAACTATGGGGATTTCCCAAGGCTTCCTAATCCTAAAATCTGAGTGTTTGATGTTCTTGATGTAGTCTCTGGATCTCAGAAGTCATCTATTATTACCATATACATCTTAATAGCAGGGAGTTTTTCTCTAACTAAAACTGGTACAATAAAAGATCTTTCTATCAAATATAACTATTTGTATTAAAACAACATATGCAGTTGTACTCCAAGTCTAGCATCGTGCTTTGAGAAGTAACTCGAAGATGTTTTGTCGGTAATACCTCACCCAAACTCAGTAGCTGGCTTCTGACTAGCATTCTCTTTATTGTTTTCTGTTTTAACTACCTTGCCTACGGAAGTCAAAAATGAATTTTCCACATAACTGACTTTTTTAAAATGCTGCTTCTGTTTAGTCTTTCCATATGGTATGTGTTCTTTGTAATCAGAAAGTAGTTACAGAGTATAAATAAACAAATACATGTAAATACATAGAGTTCTTTTTTTTTTTCCATACTGACCTTTCCAGAGAATGTTATGATTCTCTTTCCTCTGCCACTCATGACTCTTCCGTGGCTGGATCTGACCTGCTTAGAACTCATAAATCCTTAACATTTGGGGGGTGTCTATTCAGCCCAGTTTGCCTGCGTCATGTAAGTTATTTCCTTTGAAAAACGCACATACATTTTCACTGGGTCCACAGGCCTGGGGAGTTTATATGGGCCTAAAAGTGAGAATTGGTGTCTCTCAAATCTCTTTCCTCCCTTCATGAGTACTAAGAGCTAGGTGATGTGGAGCCAGGCTCCTGCTGGTACAAGCGCCTCCCGCTCTTCTATGTGCTCCAACAGCAATATTCACACGCTCGTTCATTCCCTCCACAGAGAATACTTGAGCACCCTCACTGTTTCCAAGACAGGGTAGGGTAGAAGGGTGGATAGAAAACTGAATTCTCTGTCTCTCGCCACAATTTACATTTCACTCCAGCTAGTGTTGTTTCTCTTACTTGGAGAGGGGTTCAGCTAATGAAATACGTAAGATCAGATTATGGTCATCACAATATTAGCAAACAAAAGGCATAGAAACTAAACTCACATGCCAGGAGTCACCATGACAGTCTTTATCTTCAGTATTTCTATCAGGTTATTATGTGTTGTGCTTGCAGATGCATTGAGCTATCATGTGTTTGGAACATATGGACTGAAACTTGGAAGACGACCTGCATTAGGCATAACAGACACCAAAAGCAGAGATATACAGACCTATGCTAAGGCATTGTGGAGTCCATCTTCCCAAATCACATGATAGCTTAAATTGTACTATAATAATTTGCCTCCTATAGATGGAGTTCAAGAGGAACCCATCAATTAATAAAAATATTATATCACTTAACATAAACCTTTGGTGTATATTACATGTATGATATGATAAATCAAACTATACATGGTATTACATGTATGATATGATAAATCAAACTATAGTTTAGAACTTTGCTAGCTATATTTGTTGATATATTTATTGATTTTAATCTTCAAGATAAGCTTTGTGACTGTTTAACAGCATCATTGGTTCAGTCTCTGTATATGAATATGTTAGATGTATTAGATCTATGTGTATATATTTATACACATATACACACACATACTGTAAGCATATATGCCTATACCTTTTTTATTGATAAATAAATCTTCTTTGAGCACCTTGTGTTCCAAAACTAGTGTTTGCATTTGAATTTTCTTAAAAAGTACTTTATTCTTGCTAAATAATTGTATTTAAGACAGCCGGTGTAGCAGCATAGCAGAATTTACTTCTTAAAACATTCGCTTAGTTACCTAAAGAAGTCCCTAAAATTCCAACACATGGATCCTATAAAAGCACTGACAAATTGCACAAAAAGCAAATTTGGGCTTTTCAATATCATCAATAGCTATGAAACAAGAAAGTGGCCCTGATGGTAAGGCTACAGCAAAAAGACTTACTGTTGGGTGATCCTGGAAATCACAGTCTATGGATCCAGACCTGCCAATCATGGCCCACACTGCCATTTTCCTCTTCCTTATGTGAGGCTGTGGCATATTTACCAAATGACATTTCGTGCTGTTTTCACACTATTGTTTCTTCAACGTCTTCTTTAACTAACTTTCATTTTGTTCTTCAATCTGTTGTATGTAATAAGTAGGGAGTCTATCAACAAATCACTAAAGGTCTTGGTGACTCTTCTCTCCCAAAGCGCTTAGCTAACAGGTGCAAAATAGTGAACTGAGAGATTTTGTGGTGAAAGGATAATTTATTGTAACGGCAAAGACCTCAGCCATTACATTTCAGAAATGGCATCTGGAAGTACCCCTGGAGCACCACTCCCCTCAAAACTCTGGAATGGCTACAACATTATGGATTGACAAAAGTTAATTTTTGACCCTCTACAAAGTTACATGTTGTGACTTATTTTGTTTTTGTTCTGGATGAGTGGGGTGAGGTCCCTATGAAGCTAATTGGTACTTTTCATCTTTTAATCTATATCCTATGTGGAATTACTTAGGCAGAACCCCAGAGTCAGAGTGAACTTTCCTTTCTGCTCCTCTCTTAAGCAATTTATTTGTCGTTTACTCTATCTCCACTTTTACCAGTTTGCTGTAATTTAATTTAGATTAATGATATGCCAATATGTGAGCCAGGGAAAAAACTTCTTTCCTTTATAGCACCCTATGAATTGGTCAAGGGCAATGACAATTTCAAGGAGAAATTTGGGCTTGAAAACTGAGCTCCCACCACTGTCAGTCCCCTGGTGCTTCGCCATCTTATCTAAAGCTTCTTCTGAGAACATCACAGCAGGTTGTCCCTGATTGCTAGTACATTCTCCTAAAGGTGGGACAAGTGTAAGAAGAGCATTTGACACAACCCAGTCTCTCATGAGATGACTCCCAATGAAGGTCATTGTTTAAAGCAGAGCCATATTTAGCAGCTCTTCAGGAAAACACCACAATGCATTTTATAAAACATACTAAGATGGCAAAACAGTTCAGTCCCATTGGAGGAGAGTCTTTATTCTCTATTTCCCCCCCTTCTCTAAAATGGGCGATTGCTTTTCTGCCAAAGCGGCTCAAAGGGCCACAGAAGCTAAGGTCCTTCAAAGCTGTTAAATGCATCTTCAAATTTACAATAAAATCAGCATGACAAATCTTCCAGTAAAATCTCTGGAGCGTCACAGCAGCGCCTATACAATTTTCCTTTCAGTCAGTATTTTAGTATTCCACACCTTGAGAAACAGGGAAAGCCAATGTGGGCGAGGAAAGCTAAGCAAAACAAAAACCAAAACAGAAAAAAGAAAAGCCACCACCAACAAAGACAGTGAAAAAAAAAAAAAAAGCAAACAGCCACGCGCGCCATTAAGCATATGCCAAAGTAAACAATCGGTGCGGGTTTGCCACGGCTGTGCCCTGCAGGTAGAAGGCAGGCAGCACGGGAGCAAATGGAAGGGGAAAGAGAAAGAGAAGCAGGAAGTGGAGGAGCCGGGAGCAAGGCGGCCTGATTGTGAGCCGCAAGACACACCATCAGCCATGCAAAACAGGACATACCTTTCTGGCTTGCTGGTTCTGTCGGCTGAGACAAAGCAGTCCCATTCGCAGCGGGAGGCCAAATCAAAATGAAATTTTATTTAGTCTGCACTGTCCCCAGATTGGGTTTCAGAATGACTGCTTTAGGAGATAGCATGGATGTGGCTGATGCATGCTTTGCATATGAAACTGCAGTAGGAAAAGAAATCTACATAATCAAAAAAATCTGTGCTGTGTGTGTGTGTGACAAAAACCCTGGACTCCAGTGATTTTGCTGCCGTGTATGTTTCAAGCAGGCCCTTTCAGGGTTGAAAGACGTTAAAAAAATTTCTTAAAATAATGTTATTAATAAATATTAATAAATCTATAACAGCCTAGTTTATGAAAATATATGCAATTTCCTGGTTACAACTCTGCCACATTAAAATAATTGTGATTTCTAGTTTATTTAAGAGTGTATCAAAAATCTGTGTGAGAAAACAAATTGAACTTAAAAACAAGTGCAGGCGATTTCTTTTGGAAGGGCGTTGTTCCAACAATTACTATACTCCCTCAACCTTGATAAAATAAATTAAAAGCTTAAGTCTTAAGCAATATGGAAATTAACACTAGGAGCCTCTTTGACTTTTCTCTGGGAAGACACTTAATCATATTTAGACACTATTTTAAAAAATAGGGCAAAAGTCTTTGAAAACACTCTTTAGACGCTGGAAATTATATTTTTGACATTAAGAAAAGGGACTGTAAAGTGTATATAGAACACATATCATGGAATCTCTAAATAGAGACATGTGTGCTGTATGTGTGTATTGTACACACACACACCTACTATGCTTTTAATACAGGGTTACCTCCTGCTTTGGGCAGGAAAAGGAAGTGATATTCAAGGTGCTGTGAAACAAGGGGGCAGAATAGAGCCTGTTGGTAAATATATATTATTTCTCAAAGAAATACTTATCCCAGCTTGGTTTTGATAGATCAGTTCCTTGAGGTTGAGTGCTGCCAATCATTTTCTTTAAAGAGGAAATAAAAAGTAAAAGAAAAAAGAAATAGAAAGAAAAAAAAATACCTGTATAAAACGACAGCAAAAAAAAAAAAAAAAAAAAAAGGCAAGACAGGCTCTCCCACTGCACGGTGCTCCGAAAAAAACATGGACTCTTGTAATTCTGTTTTATGAAGTATTCCCAAGGATGGGAAGAATATGAAATCTGCCCATTTAAGCTCTGAGGAGGCAGTCTCCAAGCCATGACCCAGAGCAGCATAAAAACTTCTCACAATAATGAGATACAAATAGCTCAAACAATGTGCTTCCACACACAGCCCCAGCAGAAATCACCAACAGCAGAACCATGTACTGATGTCCCTTAGAGAGACAGTCAAGCCTAATTCTGTGATTCAGGTTTCGACACCATTTTCTTAGAAAAGCTTTTCCCCGTTCCAGTTTGGATGGGTGGCCTGTCAATAATAATATTTACAAATGTAAAGGTCTTCTTAAATTGGTAATTTTGCATTAGGTACAAAGGCATCATGTTCAGCTGTGTACACCACCAGCATAATTAAAGCATAAAATCCAAAGACAGCAAATAACATGTGCCTCCTTTATGCTCCAGAACCACCACGTCCAGGTCTCCTTATAACAAGGGCAGTGCCTTGGTTTCTCTGTTGCTTTCAAGCAAGACCCTCTTTTGCCTTATCTTTCCATTATATCATAATTGTTCAGATATTCACTAAGCAGGAGTTTTGCCTGCCTATTATTTTTAGTGACAGGACACCCCTTTTCTGGAGGACGGAAAGATGTGACTTCTTAACAAATTCTCTATCCCCCAAATTCAGTGCACCTGGCTTTCACTTTCTACCTAATAAGCATCCGTGAATATGCAAATGTTCAGTGTCTCAGTAACCTCATTAATTTATTCCTCAGGCAATCATAGAATGTGAAGCGGTCCTGTGCCACTAGTACTGGATATGGTAGGATCAGGGCTACGAGAATCAGCTGAAAGCTCAGGCTGCATACTGAAACACTGTTTCATCTTTATTCCGTCTTTTGGCACTCTAATTCAAACAAAGACTCTTACCTTCCTCTACTTAGCTGACAGCCAAAAGCAAAACCAGAAAAAAAAAAAAAAAGAAAGAAAGAAAAAAAGAGAAATGCGTAGGGTTAGTAATTAAGATCTTCCCTCCACCACCAAACACGAACCAGAGGTGATCCATGGCTTGAACAAAATCTCCACAACAAAACAGTTTCCAAACTGCCCAAGTTGTCTTATTTTATTATTTACTGGGGGTTGGCGGGGGTGGGGGGAGTGGGGAGCAGAGGGCAACCTGCTTTCCATACAGCAATGCAGTTGAATAATCTTTCGCTTTGCCCACATTAAAAGCCCTGAATAATGTTTATAAAATGTTAGGGAATCCCGGTAGGTTTCCTATTTAACAAGCCATGTATGACAAATCACAGTGTAATGTACTACGTTCTTAATCTTTAATTAGAATGTGAATATCTGCTAGAGAACGCAGTTAACTTTGACACGTTAAATCTTCTGGTTAAAGTGCCTTACAGGAAGAGCAAAGATGAAACACTGTAACAATCTCCCGCTTCTCTCCATTCACCCAGACAGTTGGGGAAGGATGATAACATCTTGTAATACCTGCTCTGCAGTAATTAATCGCTGTGGTATTTAGGACCATTCAAGTAGACAAATATGACAGAGACAGGGACAATTAGAAACCTTGTTCAAGCTACATTAACTTTTCCAGCTATTACAACACAGCAGCTCAAGTTTGCTTGTAAAAGCTGCAGAGGGATTGCTATGCATTAGCCGTGCGATTATTAATGAAAGAAAAGGAGAATTGTGTTTATTGTAGTTTGAAAATTGCAAATAAATTTCAATTATCTGCTATGTCATTTTGTTAAACATGCACTCTGGAAATGCCTTTGTACTCTAAATCATGAGCTACTTAGAGCAAACTAATACCAGAAACCCTCAGGGAGATAGGAAGTCAATATTTTTGTGGAACTGGACTTTTTTTTTTTCGTAAGTGAAATTGGAGATGGGCAAAACCACCTGAATGGGCTTTTCAGGTAGCAAGCTCTGTGGCATCTTGGCGTGTATACAGCTGCTAGGTACTAATAGATGTTGAGTCAGATGTCGTGGGCAGACATCAGGGCAATCAGAACCACACTGTTAAAAGGAACCAGAGAAGCTTTCTCTCCTTGGGGAATATCCCCAAAACAATGATAAGAAATCAATTATGATAAATAAATAACGTCTGCCATCTCTGTTCCTTCCAATAACAAAGTCAGTCTTGGGGAAGAAAACACCTACGAGAGGTTCTAGTCAGCTGTAGAGGTGATGGAGTCAATGTTTCTGGCAAATGGCTCATGTCTACTGCCTTTCAAGAGGATAACTGCCAATCACTTTGAATGGCAAACTTGATCTTGACACACACACACACACACATGCACACTTGGAAAGCAGGAATAAACACACCCGCTTCTCTGCTGCCTTTTGTGAAACTACTCATTTTTCAAAGCATGCAGACCTATACATCCAATACCAAACCTCTCCTCGGTGTCTCCCACCCAAACCACGCGACAGAACCACTTTCAAGGGGCTGATGAGATGTACATCCCCCGGCCTGGAAAATGCCTCACGTCCAAACTTCCCACCCACCCTACTGTCCTCTCACCCAGGCCCAGCCCACAACATATTTCCACCCAATTTATTATTCAATTTTACTGCCCATCAGGAATTGAACAAAAAAAATATAATTCTGGTGCGCCTTGGAGCCGGGGACCTGATCCAATTGTCTTCTGTAAATCAAAGAAAGACCAGCTTAGCATGGCACAAATCTGCATCCCCACCCCAGAATCTGTTGTCACACACACACAAAAAACCCCGCTCAGTGCTCAGGAACAATCTCCCCTCTCAGCCGAGCTGCGATGATGTCAGCTTTCTGATTACAAACTGCTTATTTATGCTTCAACAGCTGCCAAGAGCAGCAAATAAGTGGCTAAAAGAGTGTCTAGACCAGGCTTTCAGGCCGCTATTGTCTGGGGGTTGTTACCTGGTTGACAGCGATGGGTCCAGCTGCCTGGTGTGAAAGGGAGCAGAGATGGCGAGGCCATGATTGACAGAAGGCCCTCGGGGTCAGCCCGATGGCCCCACGTCTTTATATTCCCGGCTCCAAAGGGAAAGCCAGGGCCCTGCCTGGAGGTTGGAGGTGAAAGGAAATGTTGGAGGGTAATGAAAAAATCTTTTGGCCAAATTTGCGATCATGAACACTTACCCCAGGGAATCAAAGCCAGTGCAAGTGGTCACAGAGTAGCCAGAAATGGGCACCTCGAGCGAAAGGAGTGAGGCGTTTCTTATCAACCTCACAGGCCCCTGGAGGAGCTGGAGAGGATGCACAGGCACACATAAATTCACTTTCTTTTTCTTTTTTATGTCTTTTTTGTTTCATTTTATTCTGTGGTGTGGGATGGGGAAGCTTGAGCAAATGCCTTTGTTACCACCTTTTTAACACTATCCTGATAGTTCGAGGACACTTTCAGAAAACTTCCCTTTTAGTACTTTCAATGGAAATCTGACAGAACATGAAACACTCCAACATTTGGGGAAAATAAGGAGCTTTGCAAGCTGACGTAAATGTCTAATTAGAATTTTCCACCACCACCACTTGCAACCTTTGAATCTTCCTTTCCCATTTGTTTCCAGCCACGCTCTCCATTTTAACACTTTTCAGGGTAGATTTGAATGTACCAAATCGCTGCCTTCATCCTGGCATCTCACAATTCATTGCAGTTGATTGGCACCAAACATTTGTGGCTTCAACCCTGCTCCTCCCCCAACCCCATTTTATAGTTTGGGGTTCTTGTGAAGAAAAGAATACTGCTAACTCTTGATCACTGAGACACACTCATTTGAATATAATAATCATAATGAAATAACTTCTTCCATGGAGCCCACCCTGTGGTTATTGCTACTCAAATACTTTGCTCCTTCTCGGGAACTGTAGCGTTATTATTTCGACACCATTGTTCCTATAGGGATAATTAATAAAGTACAGCTCCCGGGCAAAGCAACGAATGCTCCTACTTTCACATTCTTATTTACTTTTTCTCCGAGCGTTAAAAACACAGTTTCTTCCAAATACTGGCTGTGATCTAGGATCCAAATAGTACAAATCAGATGACGCTGTAGCCTTAAAAATGGTTGCATTTTGAAAAATAATAATAAAGATGAAGAGTAAGCTTTCTACTGTGTGAAAAATAACAACCATTTCAAACCATGGTGATCCCCAGAAGATGCCAGACTTGAATGAAATGCAAGAGAGCACCTGAGGAGACGAAGCTTAATTCGTGTATACAGTTGGCTTTCTCTATAATATCTGATTAAGAATCTGTAACGAAAATGAAATCACGTTAAATTAACTGTAAAAAATAAGTTGATTTAATTAAGCAAGAAAGACTTAATAGATATAATAAAATGTTAAAAAGTCAAATGATGTGCAGTTACATTTCAGTTAACACTGCTCAACAAATGTACTAAATTTATTCCTTTCAATAATGATGTGTTTTGAACATTTAATTAGATAAATAATGTCTAATCACTTCAGCAAATCTGAACTGGAAGAATCCCTTGTCATCAAAGGTGACTCACGCTTGTTACATCTACCTTCTAAGGGAAGGTAAAGCTGACAAACTTCAGCTCTTTTCAAGGAGATGAACAGAAATAAGGTAAAGTCTGTCTTTCGAGCCTCATTAAAATTCATGGTTTGCTAAACAAACTATTATTTACAGTAAGAAGAGTGTTATTCGGAATAGACTTCTACTTGTTTGCCTTTTTTTTTTAAGAATCAGAAGCTCTAAGCAGCTGATAAGAAAAGGTATACAGTGTTAGATGTCCTATAATTCATCATAATACTGTTTCCTTTAATAACTACTTTGCTCAAGTGATTGGCATGATTACAAGAAAATTACTTCAAATTATTCATCTCTTATCTTTCCTCTAAGATGTCCTAAGTTGGATGATAGTTAGCATAATGGGGCCCTATTAATTACTAATGTGGAAAGTCCTTCACAATTTGGATAGAGTTTGTAGCCTAAATAAAGAAAATAGTGCCAAATGCACCCTTACATCATCTGCTCCTTAAGATGGTGCCACCCACTGTCTATTAAATGGAATATCAAGGACATTTATTTCTTCGTTTGGAATTTGCTAAGATGAACCCAGCCTGTATATGAAAAGCAGATCCATAATTAACATCTATATGTGTACACACACACACACACAGACACACCCAGAGGAATGCACACACACACACTCACACACACACAAGAGCACATACCCAAAGCACAAAAGTATTGAAGTGTTCTGAAATGTAGAAGATGATTAACATAAAATTATCATTTCAAGCTTCTGGTGTTAATTCATTCATATCTTTCTGGAAAAACAATTCGTGGTAAAAGATCTTTTCATTTCTAATATTGCCTGGAATAATTTGTTTTGGGAAGTTTACCTATAAATATATTTAGTTCTTCCCAAGACATAATAGTATGAAGTTCTGTTAAACCCTGAGACTTTTGAATTTATAGATAGGTTGCTGTTAAAAACATCTTTCATTTCTTCCCTTACTTTGAGGGAAAGTAGGTATATAAATAGAACACACAAACATACAAACTTAGAATTTTCATTCATATTCGTTTTAAATAGTCACCCGGTTTTAAGTTATGTTTCTTTCTATACAATGTTTTGTGGAATATTTGTCTTTTCATACTACTTATTTTCTATTTTTCACAATTTTTTTCTTTTCTCAGTGATGATATAAAATTTATAAACTAACTCAGAATCTGGGATCATGTAAAGTCAAGCCTAAGGAGGTTAGCAATGGAGGTCGGAAGGTTACTTTGTATGTAAATAATAACAGCTATTTGGGGGGTATTTTCTTGTGGTAATGTTTCCAACTTAAAGAATCCTTGAAACTTTTCACTTTCTTAGTGTTTACTTCAACATTCAAAGTTTTTTTTCCTTTGGATTTGTAAGACGTAACAAACATACTTACATGCAGGTGGAGTTCAATATAAAAACCAAGAAACAATGTGACCCCTATCTTCAGAAAACTAGGAAGAAACACTAGTATGTGGTTGGTTCTAGTGACTGGATATAAGTGCTTTACTAAAATCTGTCATCTCCAGGGTAGATTTCACCTGCAGCTGTAGTTAGGATACTGTGTCCAGCTTCAAAGCCTTTTTATATTATACCTGCTAGGCCAGGACACGCCACCATGATCACAGGACCCTTCCCTGTCAGGGAGTAGAGAAAAAGGCTGCAGGGCAACAGTATTTGGCCTAAAGTCAGACTTGTTTTGTGTGGAGGGTCTTCCTCTTTCATCCTGTATTCCTCTCTGCTCACCTTGGTGAGCCTGTGGTTTGTGGACCTTTGTTGTTTCTTACCACCGGCTTCTTGGTGTTTGTCTGCTTTCACCTACTAGCAGTCACTGGGATTTAACTCTCTGGGGCCACTTCTTGGAGTCCCATCCAGGTGTTCTGTCCTGTTCGAATGTTGCCCATATTTTGGCTTGGCAACTGAAAACTGTGGAATGTAAAATGTAGTACAGTGTACATATCTTGATCAAATATACCATACAGCAACATATTTGAAGCACTCTAATGTAAGACACAAAGGTCGACTCTCATTACGATTGGTTTGTTCAGATCTCTGTTGTTTAGGTAACATTTGCTAAGAATCATGGATGAGCCAGACAACTAAAGAAAATTATGATTGAACTTAAAATACATAAAAGGGGAATATTCATATTTCATTATACCTTGATTACGTATTGGTAATGCAGAAATGTGTGCACAAGTACAAAAAAAATTTATTAGCTCCCAATATGCACAAAGCATCCTACAATGTAATTTTAATACTGTTTAAAAAAAGGTGAGTTTTAAATTTTCATTCTATTCATCATTTTCCCCTTTATTTGTCCATCTGTGTGCCTATACTGTAGGATTTTGCACAGTAAAACTTGGAATTTTGTGCTTACTTGCAAGCAATTTAAGATTTCTATTTAAAATTCAGGAAAGTAGTCTTGTTTGGGTTGCCTTTTCATGTGTAAGTTGCATAGTCTGGAACTTGGCCCTTCTCTGGAATAAATTAAGTTCCAAAGTCCAAGTGAGCTTGTGCTTAGTCACTGATGTCCCTGAACGAATTGCTTAGTCACTCTCTGCCTCAGTTTCTTAATTTACAAATGGCATATCTGATCCATCTTTCTTAGCAAAACTATTTTTAAAACTTACACTTGCGAAGGAGTAATGTGCCTTGGGAAAAAGACAGTGCATGTTGCTAAAGCTAGCTATTTTAGAATATAAGAACCTGGGGGAAAAAGTAGAAGGAAGGAAAGAACTCGATTTTATCTCTTCTTTGAGTGAGCTGATGTGAACTGCTTAGCCTCTGTCCATGTTCTATAAGAATTAAGCAATAAACAAATAAAACAGGGAATGAACTAGAAATGATTTGGGGCAAAATACTGGGCTAAGAATCAAAACCCTGCAGGCTCTGCTCTTACATGCACAGTTGGTGTCACCCTTGGGTAAGTCCCCCCACTTCAGGGCACCTCATCCTCCACCTGAAAATTCTAATCCAGGAAGGATATACATAAAGTGTGAATTACACACAAAAATCTAAGGTAATAAGGAGGTGTGAAACTACATAACTTTTTAAAAGAAGGTAATTGGTGAAAATACTCCTTCATGCATCAGGAATCCATTTGTTTTATTTCCAACAACAAAAAAGCTTATGCAGATCAAATATTTATAATAATCAAAAATTTAAAATATATAAATTTTATTATCTAATTGATATCTTACACTAACTTATCAATTAATTCTTCTAGAAAGCCATCTTGTAGGCAGTAAACAAGTAAATGGGATTTTCACATGCATTTGTTCATTGAAATATATAGCACAGCCACTTAACAGACAGCTATTGAGTTAAATTCAAAATATTATTATTTTTATTGCACAAAAGGATGATCTCAAGCAAGACCACAGGAAAAATATTAGTACTGCCCCAATCAAGAATATGGAAAGTAGAGTAAACACAAAAGACTTAGGATTCTCACAGAATCTGCAAAGAGTACTTTGAAATATTCATTTCAAGGTTCTTGGTATGAGGGGCAATGCTAGTAAAGAACAATGCTAGTTTCACAATGGTAGCCTTTTCCAGCCACCTCACCTAGAAAGTTTTGGACCATGGCCATGACTGACAGCTATGATTCTAGTAATACCTGCCCTTAGGCAGAGTAGCACCCAGTGAGAAACTGATTCCCTCCAAAACAAGGAATTCATCACACATGCCTCCTGGTTGCAAGGCTACAGTATCACCTGCATTGGCCAAGGACACCACTAGTCTAGTCACACGGATAAAGAGGACACAGGGGAAGTTTTCTATTATAAAAACCAAAAAGGGTTACAAAATTGGAAGAATATTTTATCTTAATGTTATTTCTCCAACCACGAAAACAAGTTTCCTCAAAGTCTTCCCTAGGAATTCAGTTAACACCATGCATCAGAAGGAGCCCATTTGTGGCCGGGTTTGGTGGCTCACGCCTGTAATCCCAGCACTTTGGGAGGCCGAGGCAGGTGGGTCACGAGGTCAGGAGTTCAAGACCAGCCTGGCCAAGATGGTGAAACCCCCGTCTCTACTAAAAATACAAAAAACTTAGCCAGGCATGGTGGCAGGCGCCTGTAATCCCAGCCACTTGGGAGGCTGAGGCAGAGAACTGCTTGAACCCGGGAGGTGGAGGTTGCAGTGAGCAGAGATGGCACCACTGCACTCCAGCCTGGGCGATGGAGCGAGATTCGTCTCAAGGAAAAAAAAAGAAGGAGCTCATTTGTTTTATTTCCAACAACAAAAAAGCTTATGCAGATCAAATATTTATAATAATCAAAAATTTAAAATATATAAATTTTATTATCTAATTTATATCTTACACTAATATATCAATTAATTCTTCTAGAAAGCCATCTTGTAGGCAGTAAACAAGTAAATGGGATTTTCACATGCATTTGTTCATTGAAATATATAGCACAGCCATTTAATAGACAGCTATTGAGTTAAATTCTAAATGAATACAATGACCAAGGTTACATTAACAATCAGTAGCGAGCCAAGAAACACAATTTGGAATCAATATCTATAACACACTCATATATCCACTTTAAAGAGTATTTCCTAAAATTAGCCAAAATGATAGATGTCACTTAAGCCAATTTTTATTTTCGAGTGTTTGGCCAATTAGATATGGAGCTATGTGAATATTTCAGGGAAACTCCTAGTTACATAAAGTCCATAGATGAGGAAATCTAGTTTTCACTCATTTACTCAGCAAACATATATTGGATTCATATAATTGATAGCCTTTTCTATATGTCCTGAACTAAAAGTGGCACTTCCAATTTTCCCTATTTTTAGATTGCTCATGGTTTGTAAGATAGACCATCACTTCAGCAAGTCACTACAACATAAGGTAATACGAGTAAAAGTAGAGTTGCACCTATGGGGCTATGAGAACAGAGAAAAGGGAGGAATTGGAGCATCCCAGAGGAGGGACCTGAGTGTTAAAGTCAGAAAACGCATAAGGAAGAAGGGTGCTCCAGGGAAGACTTGGGGAGGTTGGCAAAGAAAAGCCATCCAGAGTCCCTGATGTCTGCAAATCATAATCCTGGTTAAGAAACTGACATCCAAAAGGTTTGGCCCAATGAAAATTCTGGGCATCAACAAATAAGCAGTTCACACAAGAGGGTCAAAGCAACAAGGAGCTAAAATCTGGGTATGAAGAGTAGACCATGAATGTGGAGGCGCAAATGGGAAGAGTGCAGCTTGATAAGCACGGGAGAAAGTCATGTGCTATCATGCACTCTCAGAGCACCATGTACAATTCCTCAGGGAAGTCCTGCTTGCATACATTTGGTGGAGTTTTTGTTACCTATGGCAATCCCCTTTTCAAGGGAGGTGGCTGGAATCTGCCCCAGAATATGACAGTGCTGGTAGAAATGAGTCTTGCTTCAATATGACTATAACCCCATGAACTGAAATGTTTGCTGCAGCTATTTCCTCCCTCACCCACTGCAAGTGGCGTCATTGTCCAGAGACTCTGGGCTATGTCACTCAGGGTGGATACCCCATCTTCGCAGTCAGGCCTAAGTTCTTTAAGGCACATTCAAATATGGAAACCCAGCCATCAACATCTCTACTGACGGATCTCCATCTACCTGGGACCAAACAAATATGCTTTCTTTCCTCTCCCTAAAATTTCATAAAGGAAACAGGAAAGAAAGACCCCCTTGAAGATAAAGAGATTTGGGGATTGGGCAAGAGAAACATAAAGGCAAATGGGAGAGTCAGGTAGAGGAGGTTGTTTGTGAGAAGAGAAAAGATGATGGCGATCCTTACCTCCTATCCAGTGGCAATGTGGAAAACCTCTGGTCCCTAAGATGCTATTCTGGGTAAAAGTCTGGAAAACAGGTAAAAGTCTGATGAGACCAAGTGGAGCACACTGTCTGACTGCTCTGTGCTGAAGTTGGTCTAGGTCTTCTACGACCAAGGATTGAGCAAGCACTGCAGGCAGGCTTCATCCCCATAAGAGAGATGCTTGCTGTCTTCCCACACCACCAGCTGTCTTAAGATAAGTGTTAAAAGACTGGGGAACAGAATGGAAAAAATATTTTTGACAGTCATGACTTTTAAGGTAACAATATAGCACAAAAGAGAAAAGATAAAGCAGATAATAAGGTGTGATTTCTCCAAGGGCCTATGCCTTCATTTCCTGTGGGTAATTTTATGGTGTTGAGACTGTTGTTTTCCCATACAAGTCAGAAAGGAACAATGGGACAAAGTTCCTTGTCTGTGTGCCTGAAATGAGGAGTAAGTCTCTTGTCCTACTGACAATTACCCTTAGCTGTTAATGTCACCAAATCGTATCACCAGAAAGGCATGTCTCATATGAAGAATACAGAAAGTGATTCAGCAGTTAATTTGTCAATTCTTTAAATCATAAGACATATCAAAGTATTTACTATATTTTAAAGAACAATATTTAGTGTAAGTTTTTAAAACAGAGATTAAAACAAAAACATGGAGAAAAAGAAAGGAATGGATCATATCAATACATTACGTATTTACATAATATTTTGGAATAAAATATTGTTCTTCCTGTTCAAAATCATCTCTTTATTCTAAAAATGGCCACCATTGTGGTGTGTGTGTGTGTTTGAGAGGAGGAGGTATTAGAAAAAACAGGAAAGATACCTGCTTCTTCATTATTTTGCTATATATATATATACATATACACGTATATATATTCTTCTATATATATACGTATATATTCCTCATTATTTTGCTTCATATATAGCAAACTATTCTTCATTATTTTGCCATATATATACAGTATATATAGTATATACATACTATATATAGTATGTATAGAGTATATATATACTCTATACATACTATATATAGTATGTATATAGTGTATATAGTATATATACTATATATAGTATGTATATAGTGTATATAGTATATATACTATATATGGTATGTATATAGTGTATATAGTATATATAGATTATATATGTATATAGTGTATATAGTATATATAGACTATATATATGTATATAGTCTATATATACTATATATGTATATAGTATATATATAGTGTGTGTATATATATATAGTGTGTGTGTGTGTGTGTGTGTGTGTATATATATATATATATTTTTTTTTTTTTTTTTTTTTTTGAGACAGAGTTTCACTCTTGTTGCCCAGGCTGGAGTGCAATGGTGCGATCTCAACTTACCACAACCTCTACCTCCCTGGTTCAAGCGATTCTCCTGCCTCAGCCTCCCGAGTAGCTGGGATTACAGGCACGAGCCACCACGCCTGGTTAATTTTGTATTTTTAGTAGAGATGGGGTTTCTTCATGTTGGTCAGGCTGGTCTTGAGCTCCTGACCTCAGGTGATCCACCCACCTCGGCCTCCCAAAGTGCTGGGATTACAGGCATGAGCCACAGCGCCTGGCCTATTTTGCTATATTAACCTATATTACGTTAATGAAGATGATTCAATGCAGTATGTTACCTAGAAGGTCAAGAGCATGGAGAATATTGCATTCAAATGGAAAAGGTGGACTACAAACTGAAGATGTAAACTCTGAAGGTTGAAACAGTGGACAGGACCTGCTTGTCTTTAATTATCTTTTTTTTTGTTGTTTGTTTCCTGGCAGTTCTAATTGGTGAACTTTGGCATGAAGTTGAAGAAGAATAAACTTATTTTCAACGTTGTTAGTCTAGTAGAGTACTGTGTCCTTATAGGCCCATGGATTGACCAATGAATTGCCCAGTGAGGGATATCTTCTGGGAAGCTCTGAAGTGCTCTAATGTTGCCTTTTGCTGATCATACCTTAGTGGATAACGGGAATAATGACAATTGAGATAGGATGCTTCTAGGAGGAAAAACTTCCACAGATCTTCTCCCAGCTTACATTCCTGCTTATTAGATATTGCAACTTACGACCAAGGTGGGTGTTTGGGGATGGATAAGAATGGTTTGTAGAATTTGCAGCAGGGGGAGAAATATGATATTCTTCAAGTCATCGTTGTTAACTCACAGAACTACGCAATGGACACGAAGGCAGGTTTTTGATAAATCCTGTTCCATTGCTCTCTTTTTTGTTTTTCATTTAGTTTTTCACAGTGCTTTAAAATTAACCAAAATCATGTTAATCTTTGCTCCCTTTTTTTTTTCCAGACCATCCTAGCATCATGGGCTGCATCTGACCTGTTTACAGGCAGATTTGGAAACACCTTACACAATTCATGTTACACCAACATCTATTTCACAATCTCACATAATGCCTTTAGATACCTCAGCTCATTCCCCTCCCCCAGCCTTCAATATTGACTGGTTTTCCATGCAGTGCTGTGTAGGTGGAAGACTCTATAAGAGCTTCCAGCTGAGGGGGCAGGGAGGAGTTGACATCCTGCCCAATTCCACTTCCCAAGCTGTAGGCTCTGGCCCGGGACGAAGGTCTGTAGGCCCTTTCCTAATTCACACAAAGGCTCCATATAGATATAGGCTCAAGATGGTCTCTGCCAGACTAACACGGCACTTCACATCCATGCATTTCAAACTGTAGGCTAGGACCCATGGAGGTGTGAAAATGTTTATCTATCTATAGGATAGAAAATATCAGAATGCTTCACAGATAGCAAAGGTATATTGTTGTTTGAAACTTTTGTGTGGGCTATGATTACACAGATGTGTCCTGGAATATATATAAAATGCATTTCTTCCTGTAGGTCATGGCCAAAAATATTTGAAAGCCATCCTGTTTATCATCATAGTCCTCAATAGATTAATACCACTACTACTAATAATATATCAACATAGTATATTCCAGAATATTTAGAAGTATTCACATATTATCATACTTGACCCTCAGAATCTGGAAAAGTTGATTGGGATTATTACCTTTACTTGGTAGTCGCATAAGGAAAAGCATCTCAGTTGGGTACAATGGTTTGCTGACAGGTTTCCATACCAGCTTTAGGATCCAGGTAAAAAGAAAGGTGGATGGAATTGTACACTATAAAAGTCAATGCTTTATTGGTGAGCAGCCATAGTTATTTTGAAAGTTTAACTGAAATATCAATCATATTCCCTGGATAAAGAAGTAGGTCAGTTTTTTTTTTTTTTTTTTAGACAGAGTCATGCTCTGTCACCCAGGCTGGAGTACAGTGGCATGATCTCAGCTCACTGCAACCTCCGCCTCCCGGATTCAAGCAATTCTCCTGCCTCAGCCTCCTGAGTAGCTGGGATGACAGGCACGCACCACCATGCCCTGCTTATTTTTGTATTTTTAGTAGAGATGGGATTTCACCATGTTGGCCAGGCTGGTCTCGGACTCCTGACGTCGTGATCCGCCCGCCTCGGCCTCCCAAAGTGCTGGGATTACAGGCGTGAGCCAACGCCAGGTTGGAGGGTTTTTTAAGAGGTGGGGCTACAAGGCAGTAAAACGCTCTAGGTGACAGTGTTCAAAGGTGTATCAGGGCTAATGAAGGAAGCCAGATCCACCTGCTCATGCCCCTGAGATGGGGGGCCGATGGTGCCCATGAGCTGTGAGGAGAGGAGTGGACCAGGAGGTCATTTGGAAGAAGAAATTTCCACCTAAAGGAAGAGAGGTTAGGCCAGAAGGGAAAAAAAATAAAAAGCAAAAATAAAGTACAACAGAACTTCTTTTATTGTGTTGCTCTCATTTTATCCTGCTTCCAGGAACATAATCTCAGAGAGTACAACAAATGCTACATGTGATTCTTTCCAAGTTTTCTGTGGAAGTTGGATCAAAACCTTGGGTTTCTTGATGTTCTCAGCCAACAGAACACCTTGATGCTCACTGTGGCAACTTCCTAAATGGTTCCCTAGGGATCTGAAGAGCTAAGGCAGAGCCCAGCGCACAGGGAATTGAGGATCATGCTCCAACTACACCCTGGGGAAACTTCTGTGTATTGAGCTGGGAGAAGAGAAATTTTAGATTAAACTAGTTATTGGCTATATTTAATTGATTTGTGATTGGATTATGTAAGACATGAAAGGATCCTTACAGATACGACAGCACACTCTCCTGGTTTTAGAGGAGGAAATTGAGGCGTAAGAGGTCACAGGCTCCAGTTCACACACAGGTGAGTAGAAGTCAGGGCCCCCGCATGGGCTTGGCTTTCTTTTTCCTGACACTTACTTATACTCATTGAAGAAGGGTAGACATCCACAGCCTGTCTCAAAGTTGAACACTATCTGAAAGGCAGTCTGTGGGGCACCTGACAAAGCCTCCAACTACATTAAGAGTATGGCTCTTGGATTAGCATTGCCACCAGCCATACAGGGCTGCCCTGACTTCTTCCTCAAGAAGTCAGTCCTCTGGCTGCCCAGACCGTTTGCTTAATGCAGCATGGCCTGCCTGGCCTCTGGGGCCTCTTGGCAGTGGGCACTTGCCCCTTGAAGGGAACCCGCAACGGCGACTCCCTGGACATGTGGCACCAAGCAAACGTGAGAAATTCAAGAATACCAAGGAAACCGTATTTTATAATATTGAAATTAATGGATGAAAAAATAAGATTAAAAAAAACCCTCCACAATTCTGAAACAGAACTGTATTTCAATCCACCTAAAAACAATTTCATAGAGTTTTAGAAAAGTCTTCCAGATGATATCTTGCCAAGATCTCAATTATTTTCTTACAATATGTTTAAAGTCTTTTTTTTTTTTTTGGTTATGATTAAAACATAGTTCTCTATTATGTTACCATAACATTAATCTCATTTTCAGACTGGGGAAAATTTCAATGACTTCATTAAAATATTAATGTTTGCTGTTGAAAATATTTATTTTTCCCTCTTCATGTTCTTTAAGAATAATGAACTTCCTAATAATTAAGAGAAGAAATAAGTGAAAAAAAAACAGCAAAAAACACACAGTAACCATCAACTGCACATTTTAAAAGGTATTGAGGCCTCCTCCCATAGATTCTTGGACATACCATGAGAAGGAAGTATATGTTGCTGCTCTATGAGGTCTTGAACATTGAGGAGTGGACTTTCTAATATTGTTTTACCCAAACTAAGGTCACGTTTTATTTCACATTCCGGCCTCAAAGAAACAGTGGCCTCCAGAGACCCAAAAGTAATTGAAAAAAAATTAATAAATGCTTAGTGAAACAAATACTGCTTTTGTTTCATATTTATGGAAGTTTTCTATTCTGTTTCTTCCCATGGCACTGTTTCCCCCAACCCCTCCTCGGAGTTAGAAAGAAAAGCCTCAGCCCAGGCCCACCCACGCGTCATGGCGGGGAGCTGGCGGGGATGCGGGCGCACGCCTGGAGCCCTCACCAAGGATGATAAGCCTGCATGAATTTTACGAGTCTCAGTATCAAGGTTGCCCTCGCCCAAGGGATTTAAGAATAAGGGGGGGGAAAGAGAGAAGGCAGATGTATGAATAACTGGCATTGTAAATCTTCACCGTGGCAACCTACAGCTAGAAAAAGTCTGTGATGGGTTCATGACTTGAGAAGAAAGCGACACAGCAGAATGTGAATGGATTTTCTTCAGCTACTTAATACACTGCTTAGAGCAGCTTAGGGGGGTGCATGTGAGTGTGTGCGTGGAGGAGTGTGTGTGTGTGTGTGAGAGAGAGAGAGAGAGAGAGAGAGTGCGTGTGTAAGAGGAGGAGCTCCCTGGAAATTCGTTAGATGGAATTACTAGTGTTATACAGCTTGCCAGCTTTGGGGGCAAAAAGAATACCGTTTAGCCTCGGAATATAAATGACTGGATTTTGCTTGGGGGAAAAAAAGGCTGTGGGGGAGGGGCATAGGATTATGCAAGCCAGGAACAATGAGCAAATTGGACCCTCCGCTACACAGCACAAGGTCACCGCGAAAGTCATGGTGTTGGTTGGTGGAGGTGGTTGATAGAAGAAAATGGCTCATGATAAATCGCTTCCCATTTTGCAAAATCTGGCAGTTAATGAAAATAAGACGCATTTGAGTAGTCTATACGAACACCTAATTTTTCCGTGCTCTCTCCCTTTCCTCCTCTCCACACGGAGACACACACGCAGGCACACGCAGGGCCTGCTGATGTATGGAAGCAAAGCCTTCGCTCTAATTGTGCAATTATAAAACGGAAATGATGCAGGTTTGGCAACACAGGGAAAGAAGGCAGCTCAATAACATTGTTTAATAACAAGCAAATAAAGCTCCGAGGGGAAAGAGGTGACTATTTCTGCTTTAGACTCATTAAGGAGCCTGAAACATATTGTAAAAGAGTGATATTTAATTATGGGCTGGGCTGATAACAGAGAGCAGGGCCTCACTGGGAGAAAGAGACCCTGTGCTCCTAGGAGCTCACAGCTCCAAACATCAATTACCATGATTATCTACCCGGCGCTTACAAAATGCACCGTCTCCATGTTCCATCAGCGACCCGTAAACAGGCATTGCATAGGCAAATTTATGGGCACAGGCAGCCAGGGCCAGGTGGGAAAGCAAGCCGCCCATTGGTGCTTCCCCGCAAAGGAGGAAAGAGGCAAAGGAAAGAAAAATCCGTCTTCTGCACCACTGAAAGAACAATTTATTACAGAGCATTTGCAGAAGGCAGCGTTTGTTGCCCTGCTATTTTTTTTTTTTTTTTGCCTCTGTTCCCTGTCTGAATGAGGGATGGGAGGATATTAACCAACTCCTGGTTACAGGGGACCCCCTTGGCGTGGTCCCATCAAACTTTTTGGTGCTCTAGAGGCCCGAAGTCCAAATGTACCAGGAGTTAGAAATGAGATGCCTGTTTCTCCCTTTAGCCTTAGCCTAAGGGAATAGATAGGACAACCTGTTTGTCTGCTGGCTTAAAATTAGAATTTGGTAGAAATCAAACTACAGTAAGGAAGATAGTGTTCTCATTTGTACACATTAGGAAGTTTTTTTGTTAGGTTGTGTGTTTTAGGTTGTGTGTTTTTTGTTGTGTATTCTTTTCCAATGTTTTCAGGGTGGATGGTGGAGTTCCAGGATTAAAGAATGCTCGAAGGTTGCTGCACTATCAAATCTGTTTTTACAAAAATAGTGATGTATTAGACTGTATCTACCCATTACCAGTTCAGCAAAGAATTCAGGCTCTTCATGTACAAATCATTCCAACAACTGCCTGAAATATTGACGAAATCGCTCAGATATTTTTGATACTCATATTTATATTTCAAGACAGGAAGTGTCTTCCTCCTCCAAACTTTACAGCAAACTTTTTGGGGCAACTGTCACCTCTGTAGGCAAGTGTTCAAGTGTACATCATTTGAATTTTGTCTTGCTCTTTTGCAACTATTTTCTTGAATAAGATTGTCCATAAAGAATGCATGCTGAACAGTGGACACCGATGACTGGGCAGAGCCACCACAGGTAGGCAACAGGGAATGGCCGGCTGGTCCGCTTCACTCCCACCATCCGCCTCCAGAGCTAGAATTTCTTGTGGCTCACAAATTGATGAGTACTGAGGAACACTACCGACTGCAAACGTTCTTGTCAGTCCCCTCCTGAAGAACAAAGGAGATTTGGGTTACTTTTTAATTCTACCCTCTCAGCTCATCAACACTTGGTTTGCATTAAAATGTAAGAACATTACACTCAACACTCTGCTAATCATCAGAAAGTACTGCTTTGAAGTTTCCCTGTTTCTCAGCTACTACCCATGACAGATGTTTGCCAGAGAACAACTCAGGGGGCATTTTCTTGCAAGCATTTTGGCTGAGAACGATAACCATTGTGCCACTTAATATTTCAGCAATCTCTAGAGAAATCGGGGAATAGCAGTTACTTATTTATCTCACGTATTGCTCCTTGCTACCTCCCCACCACCACCGGCACGACCTCTGAAGGCACACATTAATTTCACCTCAGTATTTCCATAGCATCAATGAATAAAAACTGACTACATTTTCAACAAACGCACATGTCCTGATAAATGAGGGTCCTGACTTAATTGCTCTGTAAATTAAGAGCTCACCGTAGTGACAATAGAGAAGAGTTTTAATATTTAAAAACTCATTAAATTTGTGTACTTTGTGAATAATTAAAGTCGCAGGACCACTTTAAGGGGCTAATGTAAGTTTCATTCTTAAATGTATATCACGGATGAGGATAATTCATCTACCAAAAAAAAGCCAATTTTTTAAATTGCTAAATTTGGTTACTTTTTTTTGTCCTAATTGGTTACTTTTGGTCCTAATTTGTCTGTGGCTTTTTCCTCATCCTTTTTTTTTTTTTTCCAAATGACAATGACTGAATTAAAATGTTGTGGTCTGCGGGTTTAAAAGTCAGTTATCTGTTTATACAAAAAAAAACGATCTGTTTATACAAAAAAGAACCAGGCAAAACACACCTGGTTGGCTTCACCTTTTTTCTTATACATGAACTAAACTTTTTCATTTGCATTTGATTGTTTTCATTTGAAGTGTGCTCTAATTTGAACTATTCCCCCCCCCAAAAAAAAGTTCTGTTGTTTTTGTTTATGACTTACAGCTGTGTAAAGATCTAAATGTGTAAGTATGTGTGACGATGACAAGATTTGAAAAGATTTGTGCAAACCACAAATCCTGGTGATTACAAAAGGGAGGCTCTCTTGAAAGAGTTCACGTCAAAACCCCTGAATAACCACTAAACATAGAGAGCAGAGATTCTTTCTCCTTTATATCAAAACTTTGTCTTTAAAAGTGATGACTGCTCTAAGAATGATCTATGATTTTCCAGCCTGGTGTTCACAGTTGGGAAAGGGTCTAGTTCTGGGTCAACGAGGCTTCTGTGTCATCTTTGTATTTTTCACATCTCTTACTCCTCCTGTCCACATGTCAATGTTAGTATTGTCATCGATATTTAGTCAATAATTAAGCTGACACTCTTGGTCTGCTCAGTTTTCGGAGATCACTGGACATTTTGAAGTGTGAGCTCTCTGTGGAAGGCAAGCATACGGAACTCCGTCTGGTATTTCTTCCTGGAAACGTACGTACCATTTTTGAAAGAATCACTTTCTTGTGAACTCGATACTTCTGAAAATAAAAATGAAAAAAAAAAAAGCTGGGGCTGGGCCTTGGGGGTTCACTTTAATTAAATTGGAACATTGATCTGTCTTCAAGCAACCCTTAGCAGGGAAAAGAGGTGTCTACCGAAAAAGGAGACAATATTCATAAATCGTTGTTTTATTACAAGTTGGAAGAAGTGAAGTGGATTTCCTAGGATGTGGGTAGGGGCACACCTATTATTCTTAAAGGAGTATGATTCCAGTTCTTGTCTTTAAAAGAAATAGATGAATGCGGTAGCAATCCAAAGTCTGTGCTCCTGTGCCCTTCTAATAGAAGAAATCACAAAAATGTAGAGAAAAGTAGGTAAGAAATGCACATGCAGGATAAAAATGTAAAAGGTAAACTATTTTTTTATGCTATCAATTCATTATCACAACTGCTGAATGTTCCTCTGTCTTAGACTAGGGGCTATCTTTCCAGAGTTCTCAACTGTAAGAAAACTATTATATTAAAATGCTCTCACAATGAATCCCATGGGATTGGGGAAAGCTATGTTGCAAATGGGATTTTGCACTGTGTGAATTGCCAATCCCAAAAGATTGTGAGATCCTGTGGCTAGGCACAGGTTCTACAATATGTGCATTTGTGAAAAGGGAATGTCATCACTACATATTATTTTTACCTTTGGCAAGAATTTTATAAAATTTCAGAGCTTATCACACTCAAAAATACTTCTATAAGGGTGGCAAAATCTACATGAAATCGCTCTGGATGCCATACTATCATGCATTTATTAATTTGTTCTCATATTGTTTTTGCTTTATTTGACCTGGAAAATAAATGAAAACTGTAAGTTGCTAGTCCTATAAAATCATCCACCTGTTGAAAGCATAGCATAGCAAATACCACCATGGACATCAGGGAGGAAAAGGTAAGGAAAAGGAGTGAAACTTAGGAGAACGGATGCCAGAAAAAAAAAATGCAAGGAAGAAAATAATGGGAGATGGAAGTCTCCTTTCTCTTTTTAGCTTCTATTTTGGATATGAGCAGATGAGAAAGGAAAAGAAATTGATATGGAGAGAAACACATGGTGGAGAGTAACACAAGACCATAATACACAGAGCCACTTGCCCCAATAAAAATGTCATGTCACATGCTAAAGGACAGAGGAAGCACAGAATTGCCCATATTAAGTTTTTACTTTGTTACAAAGCATTCACTAAAAGAAAATTGGTTAAATCTGACCACATCACTGTTTGTCTTTTTCAGAAACCTACTCTCAGAAAACCCATTGAAGTCCCTGTTTTACAACTAACATAATGGGCGTGTGGAAATGCCTCTCCATCCACCAGGGGGCAGAAACGAACCCTTTGATTGGCCAGAGATCTTTGGACTTCAACTTTGATTTGGAATAGTTGTAATTTGCATAGCCTTTTCACTCTCAGACATCACTCTTTCTGTCACTAGGAACATAACCATATAGACTTTTCAAAGAAACCTCTTAATTCTGTGTGAAACTCTAAACTTCACTCTACCAATAAACTTCCCCACATTCACACTAGAGAGATGTGATGGGAATGCTGGGTCTTACATATGGTGGTCTTCATATTTTCGTGGATTTGTCTTTTGAGGCATGGAGTGCCTGACCTTTGCGTATGCAAGATTCGCTAGCATGTAAACTCTGTCACTGTCTCCCAAGAACACAGAAACAGGGCTATTAATAATTTTAATGCTTACTGTTTTGTGTAGCTTTTTTTGCAGAAACTGTCTATTAAAAAGTCAAATTTGGTGGTGCTTTTCTTGTGTTTTTGGTGGGGAGGCGGACCGCTTCCTGGAAGGAAGGGATGTGTGTAATGTATATAAAGTCACCTTGTGCTATTCTCATTCAGTTTAGCACCGTGCTGCTCAGTGATCATGGCCTTCATCAATGCAAGCATCAAAGTAAGGGTGGCCATTTCAGGAGAACTAAATGTTAGAAATAATTAAAATAACTACAACTGACATATACTCAAGGGAGCCATAAAATGTAGCCTTCTCTGATGTCCAATATGTAGCTGAACTGAAATACAATCCTTTAGCATCTGAACAAGTAAAAAAAAAAATCTGGCTCAGGAATTGTCATTGGAGTTGGTTTCTCACCACATTTCTGAATAGTTTACATCTGTTGACCAGCCCTAAGTCCTACTTAACATATGCAATCTGATGAGAGATCACAGTCTGAATTAATTGATGTAAAATAGATTGAGTTTAATTAGCACATCTTTACTATACTGTGTTGAAGATGTGGCATTTAAATAAAACTAGAACAATATCCAGTAGCACAAACATTATCGTATACAGAGATTTTAAAGGAAATCATAATAAGAAACATGAAGCCTATTGAACTCCATTAAAAAGCCAAACCACAGGGAGGTAGCCAGTCAGAAAGTACAGCCCTTGAATTTATTTTAAAAACCTACCAGTACAGCCATGCTTCTATTGCTGAATCACATCTGCCATCACTGATCTTGCCAGAAGATATAATGTAATAAAACAAACCCAGGTGATTTCAGAACCATCCATTTTTCTTTTTCTTTAAAAGTATGGGAAACAAACTCTTGGGCATGTTGGTAGTATTTTCTGGTGGTGATGAGCTCCTCTTGTCCCAAGCTCAGGCTCCCTGGTAATGGAACCCACTGTACATGCATTCGAATTTCCTCTGTGGTTCACTCTCTGTCCTTTGGAGGCTGTTGTGACAGGGCTGCTCCTTAGTGACTTCCTGGGATAGGCATGACATCAATTAGACACACACCCCACGTACTTTAACACTAACCATGACACTAAAGTGGTAAAATCCATAATAAGTAAATCCAACAACATATACATAAGCAAGATGGCAAATAGCTCAATCTTTCCTAAAATTATACATCCTTGTACTCAAGAAAACATTTGCTTCATTCAGGATTTTCCTGTGGTGATCCATCTCACTTCTATTTCTTCAGTGTTCTAACTTCATGAGTAATTTCTTTTTTTCCTTACTCTTAAAGCTATCCAACCTTGAGTTTGATTATTAGTACTTTTGTTTTTCTTTCCAAATAACAAAGAGAAAGTTCCAAGAGTTCTTGTTTGTAGGTGAAAATGATACTACTGGTTGGGCTTCGGTAGGTCATTTGCTTTGAGTTGTTTTCTAGATACAGGCTTATACTAATCTTTTTATTTTTCTCTTACCTAGCCCTGCCTATCCTCCCATCAACGATTCTTTTTTCCAACAATACTAAGTACTAGGTTGTCATTAGGTTTTAGAACAGACTGAAACAAACAGGCAGATTTTGATATGGGTATTCATGACCTGGGCTCCAACAGCCTAGTTCTCTATTCAAGGATCAAGCCAACCATCTGATGCCATACACATCTAATACTTTCTCAAAATATCACACTTTTATTTGGATCTCCATTAGATCCAAATAAATGATAAAATATCATATTTCAAAAAGCTATCTATATCATCAAAAATTCATCCTTGAAATTTTTAAAGGAAGTTTTTCTCTCTGGAAGAAAAAACGGAGCATGTCAAACCAATTATACATACAGCTGTCTAATTGCTTGCACATTTGAGGCCAGTAGGAACCAACTGTCACTGCAAGAGATAGACGTAAATCTGGCCCTTGGTGCCTGGAGGACTGACCTGTTCAGATCTGTGGTTCCATAGGCATTTATATCTAGTCTACAGGTACTGCTGGATTTTTGGTGTTGACATTTTAAGTAGTTTAATATTATTCGAATGAGACAAAATTGAAAAAGCCTCAGAAAAGGAAATGTTTTGCTGATCTGAAACACAAATCCTGCTTGAACTCCAGTGATGTAGTTCAAGGACATAACAGAACCAAAGGTAATGTTCTGATAAAATTTAGACATTTCCAAATCCATATTCAAATATGGGTATTTATGATGCATCTTGGACTCCTTGACATGTAGGAAAGTCCAGGCACCTCCATGACCTCTGAATCAGCTAGGGATAAATAGCTCAAAAATCTGTTTTAAGGGGGAAAAAAACTGATGATCAAGAGCTCTGAGCATATGAATAACAACTATAACTCATATAACAATACTAACGATATTACTAGGTGTTGTGTTCAGTTCTATGCAAATGATCATCAGGCAAGTGTGTTTCTCTACATCTAAAAGTCAGATCCCAGTGCAATATTGGGACTTTTTCTTGGGACATTTTGCTTTTCTGAAATTGTGGCATGCCTAGTAGCCTTGCTCAGCTGCACCCTCTCCCCGCATCACACACCTCTAACCCCCAGGACATAATGGGGGTTAGACATTGACATAATGTCTAAACAGAGAGGCTCAGAAGTGACGATAAAAGTTCCAACTTTCCATCATTTATCTTTTTTTAAAATACTTTAAGTTTTAGGGTACATGTGCACAACGTGCACCCATCATTTATCTTATCTCTGCTTCCTCACTCTTCATCTTTTGGGTTCTACTGTATCTTCCTTGGACTTAAAATTTCTGAAGGAAGCAGTTTGCAGATTATCATCTGTAATTAACTTAAATTCAATGACTTGAGTACTCCCCTTTAATTTTCTGTTGGTGGTATGATCAGGGAATTCATTAGTAATCAATGAATTTCATAAGCATGTGTGTGCATATTTGCTATCACACACAGCATTCTAAACAACATATCATGTAACTCGTGCAGTTTCCAAATCTTGATTATTTAAACAAAAGCAGATTTTACTCTGCAAATCTTTACTAAGATTTCCAACAACTGAAAAAAAAAAAAAAGACAAATGGCTACTTGGTTTCAATCTGGCCTTAATAATTTTCCCTCTGTTTATTTTCCATTAAAAAGAAGGTGGTTATAAAACCCAACCTAGGGTACAAAATACTTTTAAAAATCTAGAACTTTATTTGCTATAGTGTTTATTAGTTCATATAGTTTTCAATCCATTTCGACTATTCTGACACAAATTGCTATATAACTTAAATTCTGATGCTGGGGAAGGGAAGTGAACACTGTATCAGATTCCCAGGATCTCCTTTCTGCCAGGAGTTTCCTCCTAAGATTCACTGATAAAATGTTGATTGCTTAGAAAACAAAGTTGCAATACTCATCACTTTGTGAGCACCATGACAAATTACAGAGCATTGTTGTTTAAATTAAATGTTAAAGTAGGTTAGTTCAGACATTTATAATGGTGCATGTAATTAGCCCAAACCGATGAAATATCAACAAATTAACTGTTTTTGAAGAAAAAAAAAGTAGTATTCGAAATTGTCCAGTATGAGCACTGGGGCCTTTAAACAAATGATGTCACACAGTCTAGGAGGCTTTGTCATGTTCAGTAAATTAGCATGGCCTAACCACAGCAGAAAATTTCCTTGAGCTGCAATAAAGACTAAATGCTTTTAGACTCCCATGGTCCTTTGTAGTCATCATTTTAAAGCACTGCCTTAGTGAGCTAAACCTGTAAAGTTTTCTTTTGAGCGGCTGTGAGTTGATTAGATCTATTTCAGCCTAGTAGTGGTAATAGGCTCCTCTCTGCGAAACTGCTTACCCTCTGCTCCCCTGGCAGCTGGAGAGACTGGAATTAATCAGGTCTGCTGGGGACTTCCTCAGCGTCTCCGCAGGCCAGCGACTCTGGAATCATTTACCACAGAATCTGACTGTCAACTCTTTGTCATGTAGGCTTTTGATTATGCTTTCTTTCTCTCTCTCATTTTCCTTCCTTGTTTTTTCAGAAAAAAAAAGGGGTGGGGGAACAGATGAGGGATTATCCTAAAGCAGTATTTTACTAGTGACTTATACAGGTATCTCTTATTGCCTTTGGTCTGCCCTTTAGAAAATATGGCTATGTGTGAAGGTAGTGAGGACTTACTATTAAAATTAAAATTAACTTTATCTTTCTTATTAAGGTATATATCCAGACAAAAGATAGGCAGGCTTTCATAGGTACAATGTCTTTCCATCTGAAAAATACATATTTAGAGATTTCATTTTTGAAGGACCTTTATGATTTCCTTCAGCAGCATCCAACAAAGTGCTCTGCCTGTATCCCCAGCTCAAATTTGCCTGTGTTTCAAAATGTGCAGAATCACTACTTAAAACACAAAGCACATTAGCATTCATGGCAAAACACTTCCAAGTACCCACGGAAATTACAAAGAAGCAGATTCAAGTCCACATAAAAATCTACCGGTCTAATTTCAGTATTTGATTTTCTCAGTGCAAATATCTTGATAATTGAGTTGTATGATTTTATGCTTAAAATTCAAAGAATAAAATTCCCATAATGTCATAACAAAAATAAACCACCCGAATCAAAGTGCAATTTTACATTAAAAATTTTTATCTTGGGGCAACTTTTACTCCAATTTAGCAACCAAGAATATTTTCACTTCTTTCGGCACTCTAATTGTTTGACAGGGTTTTCCTTCCAAGGGAAACATATACCCAATAGATAGGGTAGAGACATTTAAATATCTTCTCTAGGGTATAACCATAATAATTATATGTAAATGTTGGGGCTTAATGTTTCTAAAATTGTGATACATAATATTCTAGGATAAATGTAATCCCCCTAAAAGTATTTTTGCAAACAATATTTTCTTTCACCTAATTGGTATGAAGGCTGTAATGAGTCAAACAGCGAAATACTGTATATTGTAAATGCCAAGATGTAATGAATACATCAGTATCACATAGCCTGTACCAATAAATGTGTTACTGAAACAGACAACAGACTAAATATGTTTACCTTATAACATGAATGTCCTGCTTTCTGTATGAATTTTCAGAGCTCTGCAACAAGTTTCAACTGAGGGGTTGTGAATTATGTAGGGCTTGTGTACTCTGTATAGAATGCAGCTTTCTCATTTGTTCTTTTCTGACACTGTTTATGTCTGGTTGAACCACAAATAGACATAAATATAGCACCAATTTGAGGGCTCACTTTAGGTGTGTTTGGTAGGTGGAGGGTGTGTGCCTAAACCTTCTTTTATAGGAAGACAGAATGAGAAATTGATGGCTGAGCTCTGGAATAAACGGTGTTAAAGGCAGACAGCTGATTTACATTGCACTGGCATTTTTGGCTTATATATTTTGTTTAAGAATTATATTGCTGCTATTGTTTTTTTAAAGAAAAGATTCAAGGCTTACTTAAAATCATTCAGACCTAAATGAACTGGCAGCGCTTTTACTTTGTGTCCGGCACTGTCCCCGCGCTCCTCTCCTCTGTCCCTCTCTCTGGTCATGGGCTCCATCTCCGACTGCCATCTCAACGCGGTCTTCTATTTGGGTGGGCAGGATGCCCAGGTATCTCTCAGGGGTCTTCACCTACATTGCTCATTAACCACCCTTCAGAAGGAAAAACCGTCCTGCCACAATGCTCTCTGCTGCCTCGTAGTCCCGGCAAGGCCTGGGGAACGGTGATTTCTCTGCTGCTCTGAGGTGTCCCAGACGTTAGGGCTATAAAGGGATGTTGCTAGGCTAATTTGGCACTGCCCCTTCCAACAATGCAGCATGCACTTGGCAAAATTCAATGAGAGAGAGAGAGAGTGCATGCAAGAGAGCGAGTGAGAGAGCGCTGCTCACTAATTGAGCTATTTAACAGACTGCAGAGCCACCTGGAAGGCAGCCAATCATTACTCAGTGTCTTAATAGTATAGAGACTCTTGAATCATTCCAAGTAAGAAGTTCCACATATTTGTTTGTTTGTTTGTTTTATTTTTGTTTGTCTTTTGGGGTGGTGTGGGAAGAGGAAGAGGGTGGGAATAAGAGCACAGAAAGGGGGAAGGGTAAAAAGGGAGTACACTGTAGAGCACATGTAAATCCAGATATTGAAGTATGAAAAGCCAGTGTGCATTCTAAGACTGGCAAGGAAATAATTTACAATGCCACAGGAAAAAAAAAAAGGGGGGGCGGGGAGGGTTGGGATTTTTTACACGACTCCATCTTTATATAAAGGTTTTTTTCCCTTCTCTTGGAATGGGTCATCTTCTACCACACTGGTGAATTCTTTTGGCCATTTGTCAAGGGCCATTTTCTGAGCGGAGACTGACTTGTCTCCTGCTCTCCTCGCGGGGAGGGCTGCAGGCTGGAGCTGCGCACACACCCGCCATCACGGTTCCCTTTGGGGACGGCCCTTGGACAAGGAGGATTTGTTGATTGGCAAGGTGGCTGGAGTGAGAAGACTCTGCCAAGCCATACCCCTCTTTTCTTTCTAAACTTGGCTCTACATTTCCCTTTTCCTGGAAGCTTCTGGGACTGCTCCCTCTCAATTTTCTCCTTTCAATTCTTTGTATGCACATTTTATATCCATGTATTCACATGGCGTGCATTACTACTCATTGATTCTTTTTTGAGTCATCGGTGTTGGCTTCATCTTCCTGACCAGAAAGTAAGCCGACTCCATGTGGGGACCATGTCTTCTAATTATTTAATTATTTTTTCCTACAGTACTTTCTCTAATAGTGTGCTGTGCGCATTGATTAAGGTTTATTTACCAAACTACTGTGGAGAATGGTGGCTGTGAGATGAAGCTTCCCTTTTCTTAAAATCTTGGCCAAACCATTAACATTCCCTGTGCCTCATTTTATCAATATTAAGAATAACCACAATGATGCACTTTCAAATATTCTATGAAAATTAATGGATAATTGATGGCGACAGTGCAAGATAGTGATTAAGAGGGCTGGCTCTGGAGCCAGGCTGCCCAGTTTGAATCCTGGATCTGTACTGACTCACTGCTCAATAATTATAATGCTCTAAATTTACCATTCAGTTTTAGGCTTAACAGTTATTGAATGTTTACTCCCTGCCAGCCGCTGGTGACAAGCACTTTATAAGCATTCTTGTACTTCATCATTAGGACATCCCTATGAAATAGATATGGTTATTATTCCCATTTTGCACACGGGCAAGGATAAGCGCTAACCTAGCTCTTGGGATATAGTAGGAGCTCAATGACTTTAGCAAAGCTAAAGCCATTTGATAAATTCAAAATTTTGCTAAAAGCTAAAATGAGAAGAGAGAACCCCCTTAACTCTCATTTCTCCAATCTCCCTTCACTTGCCCTGGTCTGTACTCTACGAGGCGACGCAAAACTGGCACAATGTAAATTCCGCCATGAGCACAGTTTACAGTGAAGGCAGAAATAAACAAAGTGAAGCCTGCCTCATGTTCTCGCCAACCCTGCTTTTCTCGTTCACTATACTCCTATTTTAATGTCCCAGCCAAGGGCCCATAAAAGGGTTTTACCACTGAGATTGGCTTCTCCTCAAACTGTCAGAACTATTGCCAAGTGTTACTGTCAAATAGTGGCACATCTTCTCCCTCTCAGAATTCTGAGATTCTCTATGGCTTCAAGAAAAGTACATTTGTATGTGTATGTGTTGTTTGTATTTCTGTGTGTGTGTGCTCTCAGACACTGGTCTAATGTATCAATGATTATATCAGTGACTGAGCTTGTCTGAACACTGAACACACATCATTGATGAATCTAGGATTTCAGGAACAGTTGCTGTACCTTATAAATGCTAAAAAAGTATTTTCCAAAGCTTAGTATTTTTGATGCATGACCCTTCTGTAAATACTGCAGTAATTTGTTTTAAATTTAAGTAACATTTTTATTTTTATTATTAAGATAGAATGCCATCCATTTTATTCCTGAATCACTTGGTTCTGTTTCCTAAAATTTCTAAGGTATCCAATATCAGAACTTTTAAGATCTAAAATCATTTTTAAAGTGTTCCCACTGTTATTAAAATTTTTTTAAAAACTTACTCTATGAGATTGAAAGGCAATTAGGATAATCCCACAGCAATTGGGCATTAGATACAAAGTATATGCACAATAATAAATGTTGATTATTTTTGATATTTACACAAGAACATTTTCTGGAATAATTATATCCTCTACTTACTGACCACTTATTGGTTCATTAAATCCTAATAATAGCTGAAGGAAGAGATACAGTTTCCATTTTACAAATGAAGACAATCAAGCTGAGATAAACAATTCCAACTGTTCAGGCCACATATTTGATAGGTGTCAGAGCTAATTTCATATGTGGGCTTTTTGACTTCCATCTGGGCCTTTTAATGGCCATGCTATTTGCCATCCAAGTCTCACAGTGAAAGAATTAGAAACTCATATTTTGTGTATAAACTAGCATGGGGTCAGATTATGCACCCCAGATAAAATGCAGGATATCTAATTAAGTTTGAATTTCAGATAAACAACAAACAACATTTTGGTAGTATGTTTAGTAGCATGTTGCATAGGACATATTTACACCAAAATTAGTCATTGTTAATCTGAAATTCAGATTTAACTGGGTGTCTAGTATTTTCATTTGGTAAATCTGGCAACCCTAGTCTGAATATACTCAGATAAAAGCGAGGCAAAGTAGATGATCTCTGTCTCAGCATCCCTGAAATGTTCTCTTGTGTTTAAAAGGGGGTCTGAGGGATGACTGCCTCCTTTGCTGGTTACCCTTCTTTCCTGCTATGACTTACTGTGATAAAGCCTCTGAGATCCCCTGGTGTCAGAGGCAGCATCTCTGCAGCTGGGAGCCATAGAGGGCTGTCCCCTGCTGCTGAGGCCCATGGAAGGCCCCACCGTGCCCCCTGCCCTCCCAGGATGTGTACTTTGGTGGGTGCAGTGCCTGGGCCGGCCATGCAATGATTCTTGATTGTCCTGTCAAAGTCGCTGCACTGTCAATGCCCGTAGAGATGCAGTGAGGGGACCACTTAGAGTTCTTACCTTGCAGCCTCATACCCCAGGTTTCAGCCAGGAGTCACTGACGCGTGAGCAGCAGAAAAATTTGAGTATTAAGCAGCATGCTCTGCTCAGATGAACTGTCCTTCCTGCCACAACCCAGAGGACACTTGTCCCATCCCCATAGCCTGCTCCAGCTTTTGTGCAAAGAGGGCTCACCCACCAGCCCCACAGATGTGTCTGGACATGTCAAGCATTCAGTGGGCCAGGGTTTATGCTCAGGGGTTAATAATGCTAATAATAATGACTGTAATAATGATAGAATTAGAATACTCTCAATTTTCAGTATGATTGAATTTTCACTATGATTGAAGCTTGTTGTTCATATTGAAACAGGTTGTTGCAACCTGTTACAGAGCTTTAATCATAGTGAAAATTAAGAGTATTCTAATTCTATCATTATTACAATCATTATTATTAGCATTATTAACCCCGAGCATAAACCCCGGCCTGTTACAACCCTGGGGTTGAAATCTCCTATGAGACTGCCCTCAATTTATTATTTTTTTTTTTGAGGGCTGGGAGCTCTTCTCTATCTTACCGAGCAAAGACATTGTATGGATGAAGGGCTATTCACTGTTTGTTGTTGTTGTTGTTGTTTTTTGGTGAGAATAAATAAGCATCAGATATGATTCTCCAAGGTACAGGCCAAAAAGGACACACGAAGGAGGCTGTGGAAAATCAGGCAGGCAGAGGTGTACAGCTAGCTCTTGCGGTTATCATCTGTGTGACTTTAGATGAGTTAAATTACTGAGTGCTCTAAGCGTGCCCCAAGAGGTAAGCATCTCCAGTGATTCCTGAGCATCTGGGAAAATGGACATTCATGACTTGATACAGACTTTCAGGAATTCCATCAGAGCTGACTTAATCCCTGAGAGAGTCATACCCTCACTTATTTTGCAGTCCTTAGGAGAAATCCTGGGATACGTGAAACACAAAGCCTACCCCAGGTTTCCTCAAAACCTGCCAGTGATCTAAGTACTCTGGCAGCAAGGTCTAGCCCCACACTGGTCTTGTTCAGGACCACATTCTGGGATGAGTGTCATTGGGTGTGTGGGAGAGAACACAGCTGTGGGCTTGATCTGGATTCCATCCAAGCTAGAGAGTTCTTGTCAGCTCAGTGACATCAGGCAAGTGCTGAACCTCAGTTTCCTCATCTGTAAGTGCTAGATGATGCTTGCTTCCTAAACACCGTTGTAACAACCTGTTACAGAGCTTCAATCATAATGAAAATTAAGAGTATTCTAATTCTATCATTATTACAGTCATTATTATTAGCGTTAGCATTAGAATTCCACCAGCATAGGTATAGAGGCTACTTGTATGCACGTTAACAGATCTTTTGCAGAGCTTCTTCTTCAGAGCTGTTTTGGCTATAGGTGGCTGCTAATGTCACATGGCTATTGAGCACTTGAAATGTGCTGTATATGTAAAATGCACACTGAATTTTGAAGACCGTGCAAAAATTAGAATTTAAAGCACCACATTAATACATGTTATGTTATCATACGTTAAAATGACAATAATTTGAAAGTATTGGGTTAAATAAAATATATTGTTAAAGTTAACTTCACCTGTTTCTTTTTATTTATTTTGAATGTGGCTACCAGAAAATTGAAAATTACATATGCGGCTCTCATTTGCAGCTTACCTGGTATTTCTATTGGAAGTGCTGCTCTAGGGAACTCAGGTCATAGGTCTAGAAAGAAATATAATTCCATCTTGCCCCTTCCTTTTTACGTAATGTTTTCCTCCTTGTGTTCTAGAGAGACTTTGTTCTGTACAATATATTCTTTTAAATATTGTTTTTGCCCTTCTGAATATAAGAAGGCAGAACTAGCGAGGATAATCTATGTAGGTGGGGCCAAAACAAATGATGAGAACAAAATTCGCTCTATTAAGAGACGCTCAATATTCCCCTAAAACGTTTTTAAAGCTTTTCACCTGGCCAAAAATTCACATCAGGATATGCTTTTGATTCCGACATGGCAAGAAACCTTCAATGTAAAAGACAAATTGCAAAGGGTACCAAATGGGATGACAGCACCTGGACATTTGTTAAAATATTTGAGGAGTTTTCGTATTGGCTCAGCTACTGAATTTTCATAGAAAAATAATCTAATATAGCATATGTATGATTGTGTGATTCCCAATTAAAATATTCAAGGTCTGTATTTGTGAGCCAAGATCCAATACCTTTTCCAAGTTTTACAGAAAAGTGGAGAAAACCTGGAAATGCTTGATACATATTACACAGTATAAATAGGTGCTACAATTTCCCTTTATCACTAGGAATGTGAAATCTGGAGAAGTAGTTTTTTTTTTAAATAAACAGGAACACTACAATTATTTTTCTGCTTCACCTCTTTGCTCTATGAAATGCTGTTGAACTTGCCCTTTTAAAGATTAATCAAAGTCTGCATTTACAATTGGTTTAAGACTGTCACTATAATTTTGAGCTCATGTAATGTGAGAGGAATTAATTTGATTAAAACAAAATTAAACCATGTGTAATTCACAATAGCAGAACACATTTGCAGGCTTCCTCATGACGTGGCTAGTGCTGGAATACTTGCCAGGGGAGTGGTTTAGAATTAGATAGAAGGGGGCCAGGCACAGTGGCTCACGCCTGTAATCCCACCACTTTGGGAGGCCGAAGTGGGTGCTTCACGAGGTCAGGAGTTCAAGAACAGCATGGCCAACATAGTGAAACCCCGTTCTCTATTAAAAATACAAAAAATTAGCCTGGTGTGGTGGCAGGCGTCTGTAATCCAAACTACTCGGGAGGCTGAGGCGGGAGAATTGCTTGAACCCTGGAGGCGGATGTTGCAGTGAGCCAAGATCGTGCCACTGCACTCCAGCCTGGGCAACAAGAGCAAGACCCCGTCTCAGGTAAAAAAAAAAGACTTAGATAGAAAGTTCTATTAGTAGAGATGTCAATGCTAAGTGGCTGTGACCAAGCATTTTGCTGCAACATTTGATACTGTCATAATTATCATGTTTTATTAAAAATCTTAGAAAGAGGTAATATAATTGAGAGAAACACTGCTCTTTCATTACCCACTCTTCAATCCCATGGAATGGGTCCCGTTTTGCCTTTCCTCTTCTTTTCTCCTCTTCTTTTCTCTTCTTCTTCTTTTTCTTTTCTTTTTTTTTTTTTTTTTTTTTTTGAGATGGAGTCTGGCTTTGTTGCCCAGGCTGGAGTGCAGTGGCATGATCTCGGCTCACTGCAACCTCCACCTCCTGGGTTCAAGTGATTCTCCTGCCTCAGCCTTCCGAGTAGCTGGGACTACAGGTGTCTGCCACCACACCTGGCTAATTTTTTGTATTTTTAGTAAAGACAGGTTTCACCTTGTTAGCCAGGATGGTCTTGATCTCCTGACCTCGTGACCCGGCCACCTCGGCCTCCCAAAGTGCTGGGATTACAGGTGTGAGCCACCATGCCCAGCCCCTCTTCTCTTCTTTCATTTCTCTGGGTAGGCCTAGTCTTTTGAGTTTGAGACAGGGTTAGGGGTAGGGATAAGAGTATCAGAGATATTCTTTCACACATGGTTGTCCATTGGTGCTGGGGAGATTGTCCTGGTCTCACTCTTGGCTTGGTCTTGTTTTACCTGATGCTGGTGGTCTCTTCTGATGCAATGGCCTCTGCATAGAAGATATAGGGGTTTGTTTAGGGTGGCCCTCTGCTGAGGACTCCTTCAAAGGGAGGAAGTCCCTTGGGCCCTTTTAGTGCTCTGTGCTTTCATTCAACACTCTCTTGGGGAAGGGTCTCCCCTCCTTTTATCCCTATATTCCTTCTATGGAGTCATGTCCAATACTAAATTCCGTTTTTTTTCCCCCTGCCTCTGAGGACTGAGGAAACTAGGGAAAGTTATATCCATGTCTACTCTGCTACCAAACACTATTTCCACAGTCCTTCCCACCTCAGAAACAGCTAGACCAGGTGTAGACACTAGTCTTGACAGTCTCTATGCCCTTTACAACCAGAATATACTGTCAGGTTTCCCTGAGGGCACTCTCATTCGCTGCTCTCTAGTGGTGGGCCTATATGACTTGCATTTTCTTTTTTTTTTTTTGAGACGGAGTCTCGCTCTGTCGCCTAGGCTGGAGTACAGTGGCGCAATCTCAGCTCACTGCAACTTCCGCCTCCCGGGTTCATGCCATTCTCCCGCCTCAGCCTCCTGAGTAGCTGGGATTACAGGCGCCCACCACAACGCCAGGCTGATTTTTTGTATTTTTAGTAGAGACGGATTTCACCGTGTTAGCCAGGATGTTCTCCATCTCCTGAGCTCGTGATCCACCCGCCTCGGCCTCCCAAAGTGCTGGGATTACAGGCTGAGCCACCGCGCCTGGCCGACTTGCATTTTCTTTTCTTTTTTTTTTTAATTTATAAAGGAAAGGTTTAATTTTTTTTTCTGATTCTTTTTATTATTATTATTATTATTATTATACTTTAAGTTTTAGGGTACATGTGCACAATGTGCAGGTTAGTTACATATGTATACATGTGACATGCTGGTGTGCTGCACCCACTAACTCGTCATTTAGCATTAGGTATATCACCTAATGCTATCCCTCCTCCCTCCCCCCACCCCACAACAGTCCCCAGAGTGTGATGTTCCCCTTCCTGTGTCCATGTGTTCTCATTGTTTAATTCCCACCTATGAGTGAGAATATGCGGTGTTTGGTTTTTTGTTCTTGCGATAGTTTACTGAGAATGATGATTTCCAATTTCATCCATGTCCCTACAAAGGACATGAACTCATCATTTTTTATGGCTGCATAGTAGTCCATGGTGTATATGTGCCACATTTTCTTAATCCAGTCTATCATTGTTGGACATTTGGGTTGGTTCCAAGTCTTTGCTATTGTGAATAGTGCCGCAATAAACATACATGTGCATGTGTCTTTATAGCAGCATGATTTATAGTCCTTTGGATATATACCCAGTAATGGGATGGCTGGGTCAAATGGTATTTTAGTTCTAGATCCCTGAGGAATCGCCACACTGACTTCCACAATGGTTGAACTAGTTTACAGTCCCACCAACAGTGTAAAAGTGTTCCTATTTCTCCACATCCTCTCCAGCACCTGTTGTTTCCTGACTTTTTAATGATTGCCATTCTAACTGGTGTGAGATGGTATCTCATTGTGGTTTTGATTTGCATTTCTCTGATGTCCAGTGATGGTGAGCATTTTTTCATGTGTTTTTTGGCTGCATAAATGTCTTTTTTTGAGAAGTGTCTGTTCATGTCCTTCACCCACTTTTTGATGGGGTTGTTTGTTTTTTTTCTTGTAAATTTGTTTGAGTTCATTGTAGATTCTGGATATTAGCCCTTTGTCAGATGCGTAGGTTGCGAAAATTTTCTCCCATTTTGTAGGTTGCCTGTTCACTGTGATGGTAGTTTCTCTTGCTGTGCAGAAGCTCTTTAGTTTAATTAGATCCCATTTGTCAATTTTGGCTTTTGTTGCCATTGCTTTTGGTATTTTAGACATGAAGTCCTTGCCCATGCCTATGTCCTGAATGGTAATGCCTAGGTTTTCTTCTAGGGTTTTTATCATTTTAGGTCTAATGTTTAAGTCTTTAATCCATCTTGAATTAATTTTTGTATAAGGTGTAAGGAAGGGATCCAGTTTCAGCTTTCTACATATGGCTAGCCAGTTTTCCCAGCACAATTTATTAAATAGGGAATCCTTTCCCCATTGCTTGTTTTTCTCAGGTTTGTCAAAGATCAGATAGTTGTAGATATGTGGCGTTATTTCTGAGGGCTCTGTTCTGTTCCATTGATCTAAATCTCTGTTTTGGTACCAGTACCATGCTGTTTTGGTTACTGCAGCCTTGTAGTATAGTTTGAAGTCAGGTAGCATGATGCCTCCAGCTTTGTTCTTTTGGCTTAGGATTGACTTGGCGATGCGGGCTCTTTTTTGGTTCCATATGAACTTTAAAGTAGTTTTTTCCAATTCTGAATGACAGCAAGCTTTCAGCTGGGAAGTGGGGCACTGGTGTCCCCTCCTTGTAGACACTCCTCATCAAACCACAGGGTCTCATAAAGCCCCATTTATTTGATTATGGAGAAGAGAGGGAGACCCCTTTTCATTCCTGACACTGCAGATCTATGAGGATCCAAGAGCCCTTCCATCCTTCTTTACTCTGTAATCCTCTTATATAAACTGGGAAGCAGGGGATGGTCACTGGAATGGTAGCAGGGGTGGTTCTGCCACTGCTTAACAAACAGGGGACAGTGTCTGGCCGTATATATTATATTTTTTATCATTTGTCAGTTCAGAGTCTTGGAGTATATTCCAGCTCAAAATAAAAAATGTCAGCTCCTTATTTTGTGGATGTACTTTAGGAAATCATCAGTACCATTTATCAGATATTTTTATTTTCCTGTTAGGCACTTGGTAGAATTGCATTTCCTTACCTTCTTGGAGTTAGGTAAGGCCATGCTTTAGCCAGTAATTATTTTATATTGGGAGGGAAGCTTTAAGAGCTTGAGTGTCGTTTACTTGATTCCCATGTTCATCTCTAGAGACTGTGGAAGAATATATCCAAATGGAGCCTCCGTTAGGCCAGGTCTTCATGTGTTTAGGATGAGCCAAGCCTCCCTGTGTTCTTTGTGTTGAATATGTGGTGTGAGTGGGAAACATATTTTGTGTGTGTGAAAAGCCACACAGATTTTTGAGTGACCTGTCACTGCAGCAAAATCTAGCTTAGCCTGATGAAAACAATGTTGTTGCATTAAACATGAGCAGCCAGGTCAGAAGCTGATAAGGACTAGAAAATGCAGATCTGCCCTGCTCAGTGCCACCTGCCCCATGCCTGTCCCCTCTCTGAGGCCCAGCCCCCTTTCTCCGTGTCCATCACACTTTGTGGAAGCGTTGCCAGCATGTCTGACAAACTGTCCTATAAAGTTGCTGACATCGACCTGGCCTCCTGGGGACACAAGGGCCTGGATATTGCGGAGAATGAGATGCTGGGTCTGATGAGTGTGTGGGAGCTGTACTTGGGCTCCAAGCCACTGAAGGGCACCCATATCTCTGGCTGGCCGTATGTGACCGTGGAGAGAGACATCCTCACTGAGACCCGTTGTCTCCCTGGATGCTGAGGTACAGTGTTCCAGCTGCAACATCTTCTCCACCAGGACCAGGTGATGGCTGCCATTGCCAAGGCTGTCATTCCAGTGCATGCCTGGAAGGGTGAAACAAGCAAGGGGTAACTGTCATGCATCCAACATTCACTACTTCAAAGACGTGCCCCTCAACATGATTCTGGATGATGGTAGTGACCTCACCAACCACATCCACACCAAGTACCCACAGCTCTTACTGGGCATCCAAGGCATCTCTGAGGAGACCACCACTAGGGTCCACAACCTACATAAGATGATGGCCAAGGGGATCCTGAAGGTACCTGCCGTCAACAACTCCATCACCAAGAGCAAGTTTCACAGCCTCTAAGGCTGCCGGGAGTCCCTCATAGATGGCATCAAGAGGGATACGGATGTGATGATTGTCGGCAAGGTAGCCATGGTGGCAGGCTATGGCGACATGGGCAAGGGCTGTGCCCAGGCCCTGTGGGATTTTGGGGACCCCTTCGTCATCACCAAGATCGGCCCCATCAACCTGCTACAGACTGCCATGGGGGGCTATGAGGTGACTGTGGTAGATGAGGCCTGTCAGGAGGGCAACATCTTTGTCACTGCCACAGGCTGTGTTGACATCATCCTTGGCCAGCACTTTGAGCAGATGAAGGATGATGCTATCATGTGTAACCCTTTGATGTGGAGATCAATGCCAAGTGGCTCAACGCGAACACTGTGGAGAAGGTGACCATCAAGCCCCAGCTGGCCAGGACTGGCTGAAGAGCAGCACGGCACCATCCTGCTGGTTGAGGGTCTGCTGGTAATCCTGGGCTGTTCCATGGGCCACCTCGGCTTTGTGATGAGTGACTCCTTTACCAACCAGGCGACGGTGCAGATTGAGCTGTGGACCCACCCAGACAAGTACCCTGGTGGGATTCACTTGTTGCCCAAGAAGCTGGATGAGGCTGTGGCTGAATCCCACCTGGGCAAGCTGAATATGAAACTCACAAGTTGACCAAGAAGCAGGCTCAGTACCTGGGTATGTCCTAAGACAACCCCTTCAAGCCAGATCACAACCGCTACTGAGAGCCATGCCTGCCCTTCACCTTCCAGCTGCTGTCCTTCCCAGGCCCCGCCTCTCCTCTGTAAGAGCAAATGGCACCAACTTTGCGATTGGTTTGTCAGTGTCTGCCATAGACTCCCTGGTGCTAGTCCCTCAGTTTTTGGCCTCTGCTGCACCCCTCATACTGTTGCAAGTGTGGCAAGGGGGAATCGAAAGGCCCTTCCTCAAGCCCTGGTCAGGATGGAGGTACAAGGGAGACAGCCACAGGGAACCGTGAGCTCAGTGGTCTTGGAACTGCTCACTAAGTCAGTCCTTCCTAAGCCCGGAAGTTGGTAGTGGAGTTACAAAGCCCATGTACCTTACCACTTAGGCCTTCACCTGGCCTGTGGATTTATACCCGTGTGCTTGGTTCAGTGGTTCCTCAGCCCATGACAGATGGAAGGCGCTATATTCAAAGGCAAGGAGGAACTGTTTGAGTTTTCCTGAGAGCCTGGCTTGGTGCTGGGCCTTCTCTTAAACCTCATAACAATGAGGTTGGTACTTTTAGTCTCTGTTTTACAGGGGTTAGACTAGACCACTAAAGGACAACTGAAAAAGGACAGAGAAGGGACAGCCAGAGGTTGAAAGGGGCCAGAAAAACACAAAGCCAGCATATATCTGCCATCATTTTGTAACAAGAGGGTTCCTATCACAACCCTGGGTCCAAAATAGAGTAATCTGATTTATAATATTTATATAATGTTTATAACCTTAAAGAAAGCAGGAAGGTGAGTAAATAAAAATCTTGGTGCCTAAAACAATTTTGAGGCTTTATTTTTTATAAATAATCCACTGCCAACAATGTGTGGTATGAATAAGGGGGTATAGTCACGTACCAATGAAGCATTGAGAAGACAAGGGGTTGTCTGCAGTGTGAGGGCTGCAGGTAACCCCTTAGGCTTGAAAGAATGAGTAAAGAGGGAACTCTTCTCTTTTCAGACATGTCTCTTGTAAATAACCTGTTTTTAACCCAATCTTAGACTGTCATTGAATAGATGAATTTAACTCATTTACAATTTTTTTTAAAAAAAGAAAAAGATGCAGATCTTCTCTATGTGAGAGGCTAAGAGGTACCCAGACTGTGCCTAGCATCCTTCTCAGAAGAGCAAGAACATGTGCAAAGGAAATTGACAGCAATGGAGTCAAAGTCACACGGCGGGTAAGTTACAGTCTTTACAAGGCATCTGTTTTGATGCTTTGCATATCCAGGTTTACATTTTCTGCCCTTGCCATATTTTCTTTCCTTCAAAGTCATTTATGTGATGAATATAAACTTATAATAATTTAATTATTAGCGACTATTAGTAATTTTTTTCAGTCGATCTATGTTGCCTTTAGGGAGCTGTATTTATGATTATGGTTTCTTCACTGAATTCTGGTGGCAAGTAATAAACACGTCCATGTATGTAAACAGAGAAAGTTGGATTTTGAGGGTATTAATATGTGCTGATCTAATTGGCCTCAAGGCAGTCGGAGACACAGCTTGGCAGGCAAGCCAGTGGAGGTGACATCTCCTGCCTGGAGTCAGAGCGAATACCACTCTTTGCATAGCACCATACTGAAACCACCTGTACTAAGTACATATCTAAGTGATTATGCGTGGAAATAGCCTAAATCACAATCTTTCCCCTGTAAAAAGTGATTTAAACAGTGACATGGATATATTTTTCAAAGCACACCTGAGAGAAGGAAATTGTGACCTGCTCAGCTGTGTTTCTGCATTCTCAGGTTAGGCTACCAGGGATCTGCTGGGCTCCAGGTCTGGCTGCTTGAATATTCAAGGTCCGAGATTATTGCTTAATTTTTCCTGCTTTTTTAGCCAAATGTGTGATAGAAATCATCCAGCCCTTCATTTTGCCATGTTCCTGAGGCATAATATGGAGTAAAACATTCAAGAACTGTATATGGGTGTCACTCTCTAAATATAAAATCATAGACCACATGATTAATTATTATTCTGAATATTGGCAGTTTAAATGGGACGTTATTAATTATTCTGAATATTCGCACTTTAAAAGGAAGGTTGTTTTGACCAAAAAACTGCATACTGAAAAATAATTCATGGTCCAACAGACATTGGCCATGTGGAACTAAATCTGGGAGAATATCCGGTCTCAAACTGCTACTAAAAGTTTCGAAATTGGATGGGCAAGTAAGTATGGTCATTAAAATTTAAGTGGATGAAAATTGGATAATTGCATGCTGCTTTTTATCTTGACACATATTGTATTAAAAGTTACTATGCAAAAGAACCATTTTCTTGGGAAATAAATAGATGAGAAGATTAAACAAGTGACTATTTCTAAATCATATAAGTGGGAGGAGAGCAGTTGAAAAGCATTATTTTACTGTTCCTACAATGCCCAGCTCAGGGCTGGACACATAACAGCCACTCAGTAAATATTTGTTGAGTCTATTAATGTATGAATGCAAACAAAATTCTTATCTTTCCATTAAAATGGAGTAAGTACAATAGAGGAAATTATTTTAAAATGTAGTCCAGTATCCACAACAAATCATCTCCATTTAGGTCTTAATTAGTGTAAGAGTACATTGTTGTTATTCGTTTTCAAAGTTTGTTTAATGATCATGACAGGATTATTTGTGGTATATTCCCTAGGTTGAGTTTATGTAAAAAAAAAAATCTTTCTCCACTGCCTTGATATATTTGGCACCCTTTCTGTGAAGTGCTCAAAATATCATTTTGGGGGTACATTTTAGAGATGTGAAGGGAAATGTCTGAGCTATAAAATCCAAATCGGGATCTCCTTTTTAGTTTCAAGCTAAAGAAAGAAATTCATCACTGAATATACATGCATCTTACATGTTCTAGGGCCTGGTAGTGTTGGAGATTGTTTATGTAGCGTATGTAGTTTACATTCAATAAATGCTTTCTGATTGACAGATGGACTAGTGAAATGCTTCAAGGTAGTATGGCCAGTCATTTGGAATTGTCTGTTTGATCTGCAGAAGGCAAGACACACAGAAACCTCCCACTGCTGGGTAGGGTTTAGGACAGGGCAAGGAAGTACGTTTATGGTCTGCAAGCAAAGATTCCTGATTGAGAATTCCCTTTATAGTGAAAGCTGGGTAATAACAGCTTTTAAAAGCTTCAATTTCCAATGTCAAGAGGTTTTTTTTTTTTTTTTTTTTTTTTTTTTTTTTTTTTTTTAAGGAGAATCTCTACTGTAACCAAAGAATTCAGCCTCAAATTCTAGAAGACCCGGTCGCCACTTATTGTGGTGTTTGTTCTCCCTGGAGCAACCTTTCTTTCCTTCCCTCTACCCCACAGCCCCCAACAAAACACACAGAAGTCACGAGCCACAATTAGCTTTGGCCAAGCTTCAGTTTAGGTTTCCTAACAAGTAAACACTAGCCCTCTTTTCCCCTAAATGACATCCTATTGATTCTCTAGGATTCATGCATTTTAGGGTATTTTGATATTTTTGCAGGGAATAAAGTTCAGTTCCCAGGTGAATGTCACTATTCTCTCCTCTTGTGTTTCCATCAAGAAACCTAAAACTTGTCATTATGTAATTCTTTTCCTTCTTTTAGAGACAGGGTCTCATTCTGTTGCTCAGGTTGGAATGCAGTGGTGCAATCAGAGTTCGCTGCAGCCTCTAACTCCTGGATTTAAGTGATCCTCCCACCTCAATCTTGGAGTAGCTGGGACTACAGGCATGCACCACCATGCCCAGCTAATTTTATTATTTTTTTGTAGAGACAGAATCTCAATATGTTGCCCAGGCTGATCTCAAACTTCTGACCTCAAGCGAATCTCCTGCCTCAGCCTCCCAAAGTGCTGGGATTACAGGTGTGAGCCACCATGCCTGTCTGCATTGTAGAGTTCTAATTACAAAGAGAAGTGAAGCTAAGAGACAAATTGCCTGATACATTCAAAGTCACCGACAGCCTTCTGGAGTTGGGATTAGAAGTTTGTTTTTGGCTTTCTAATTTCTTGCTCAGCTTCTTGTCCATAACCAGCATGATAAGAGGGGATCTCTGGTGGTCACAGCTTCCATCACACAGTGGTTTGATTAATAGGCCAACACTCATAAAGTGCACATGGTGGTGCCAGGATAGAGGAAATGCCAACAAATGCTGGTTTCTGTTATTGTTATAATTTACACCAGAGCATATTTTTCTTGCTTTGACCCAAAATACTAAGGCCATTTACCTGATAGTCCTTTTGCTTCCTGCTTAGAAAAGAGCACATTAAATATATTTTCAAGCATTTACTTCATCACATCCTTGTTACCCATAGCACTTCACAAAGCAACCTTCTTTCATCCAAACTCTGCTTCCCCTTCCAGTCATCACCCAAGATCATTGTTAGTCACTCATAATGACCCTGGGATCTCAGAGACAGTAGGATTACCAGGGAAAAATTTTATCCAATTGATGATTTCATATGTAGCTACTATTCATCAACCCCTTACGACTTACTAGTTCCCAAAGCTAAACTTCAGAAATTTATAGGTGAGTATCAGACCTCATTTTCTCATTTCTGGGGAATGGGACAGCTAGGACCGAGGTGACAGGTGACCTTAGCACACTACTCTGTCCCATAGGTAAATTTACGTATGCTGTCTTCACTTTGCCCTTATTTCCCTAGAGTTTTAATTTTATTTTAATTTTAAATTGACAAATAAAAACTGTACACACACTACTCTCTCCCATAGGTAAATTTATGTATGCTCTCTTCACTTTTCCCTTATTTCCCTAGAGTTTTAATTTTATTTTAATTTTAAATTGACAAGTAAAAACTGTACACATTTATGGTACAGTTTAATATGGTATATTTTGAAATATGAATGCATTTGAAATGGCTAAATCAGGCTAATTTACATATACATTACATCACACAGTTATGTTTTTTTTTCTGGTAAGAACACTTAAAATCTACCCTCTTGGCAATTTTCTAGAATACAATATGTACATTGTTATTAACTACAGTCAACATATTGTACAATAGATCTCTTGAACTTATTCCTCCTATCTCACTGAAATTTTGGATCCCTTGACCAGCATTTCCCACTCTCACTGCCCCCATTCCCAGCCTCTGGTAACCATCATTCTACTCTCTGCTTCTGTGGGTTCAGCTTTTTTAGATTCCACATAGAAGTGAGATCATGCAGCATTTGTCTTTCTGTGCCTGGCTTATTTCACTTAGCGCAATGTCCTCCAGATTAATTTATGTTGTCACAAATGACAGGATTTCCTTCTCTTTTTTTTTTCTTTTTTCTTTTTTTTTTAAGACGGAGTCTTGCTCTGTCGCCCAGGCTGGAGTGCAGTGGCGCGATCTCGGCTCACTGCAAGCTCCGCCTCCTGGGTTCACGCCATTCTCCTGCCTCAGCCTCCCGATTAGCTGGGACTACAGGCGCCCACCACCACGCCCAGCTAATTTTTTGTATTTTTAGGAGGGATGGGGTTTCACCATGTTGGCCAGGATTGTCTTGATCTCCTGACCTCGTGATCCGCCCGCCTCGGCCTCCCAAAGTGCTGGGATTACAGGCGTGAGCCACAGCGCCTGGGCTCCTTCTCTTTTTAAGGCTGAATAGTATTCCATTGTGTATACATAACATTTTCTTTATCTAGTCATTTGTTGATGGACACAGGTTGATTCCACATCTTGGCTATTGTGAATAGCACTACAATAAACACGAGAGTGCAGATATCTCTTAGACATACTGATTTCATTTCCTTTGGATATATGTTCGGTAGTGGAAATGCTGGATCATATGGTAATTCTATTTTTAATTTTTTGAGGAACTTCCATGTTGTTTTCCACGATGGCTGTGCTAATTTACATTTCCACCAACACAGTGCAAGGATTCCCTTTTCTCTTCATCTTCTCCATCACTTCTTATCACTTCCTTATCTTTTGATACCAGCCATTCTAACAGTTGTGAGGTGATATTTCATTGTGGTTTTGATTTGCACTTCTCTAGTGATTTGGGACCTTTTTTTCCCCATATACTTATTGGCCATTTAAATGTCTTCTTCTGAGAAATGTGTATTCAGATCCTTTGCCTATTTTTCAATTAGGTTATTTGTTTTCTTACTATTGAGTTGCTTAAATTCCTTATATATTTTGGATTTTAACCCCTTCTCAGATGAGCGATTTACAAATATTTTCTCTCGTTCTGTATGCTGCCTCTTCATTCTGTTGATTGTTTTCTTTGCTGTGCAAAAACATTTTAGGGAACACAGACATGAAACTGGGAGTTGATGGCACAGAGAATTTGCATTAAAGCCAGGAGAGTAGGTAAGCTATCTGAGGGAGGATGTAGATCAAGAAAGGAATGAGGACCAGGATGGATTCCTTTGGAATTTAAAGGCTAGGTAGAGGAGGAGGGGCCAGAAAATGATACCTAAACCAAAACAAAATCAGCCAGAGAACAGGAGGAAATCCAAGAGAGACTGATGTAAAGAAGCCAAGAGAATAGAAAACTTCCCGGATGGAGCAATCCCATGGGTTTTCACAGATGAGATGAATACCAACTAGAGTCTGTCAGCTTTAGGGACATGAAAGCCATCAGTGACTCCATGCATCTGGTATTTTAAGTATTCATCAGACGGAGATAGCTGCAAACTTTTACCCTGAGACTTTTATTTTCTAGTCTTAGAATTCTAGAGGATTTCAAATTCTAAAATGGTAACTACTTAACATACACTGATATTCTGTTTTCATTTTACCATGCATCCCACTTATAAGCTGAAATATACTTATGCACTTAAATAAGATTTTCCTCTGACTAAATTGCCAATCTCCTGAGAAAAATCTGATAAACTAAATTTTAATTAATCTCCGTTATACCCTTCTCATCTTTCCTCAAATGAATTAATTTTTTCCCATAGCAACTTAATACCTAGTTCACTTAGACACCAAGTTTCACTTTAGAGCCGTGCTTGTTTCTTGCATTTTCTGTATATTGATATTTTTTTCCAAGAAGATCATATTTTTAAACATAGGTGCTTCTTTTCTAAGATCTAGGTGATTCTAGATTCTAAGATTTTGATTCTCTATTTTTCACCTTTTATTAATCCATTTGGAAACTATTAAGCACTTTCTTTGTGCTGGGTTCTGGAGTACAAAGATGAACAAGACACAATTCTTGCCATCGCAGCTATCAACCAAGTAAGGGAGACAGAAGCCTAAGTGGACAAGTGTAATTCAGTGCCTAGGAAAGGGACACTGGATCTCCGGGAAATTCTCAGTCACACTGGAGCAGTGATGCCTGTTGTAAGACAGTTGTTTTTTGTAATGCTGTCTTGACCCAGCTTTGAGGCCCTGACTAGAGGCTGATCAGTTCCTTCTTGGCATCTGATTAAGTCCATACCTCGACCACCTTTCTTGTTGGGCTCTCACCCTCTGGGGCTCCTGTGCACCCACGTTTATCTCCCTGGGGCTAGGTGCCAGACAACTAGGGACAGATTCAATGCCTAGGAACCTGATAAAGTATTCAAGTTAGTGAACCCACAAGCAGCCTGGAAACCCAGCTAAGCCCACCTCGCTTGCCATACATAAGCTATCTCTGACAGCCCCAGCTTGCTCTTACCCTGCCCTGTTTCAAGCCCCTGTGTGGCTCTGCCGACAGCCTGCTCTGATTTGGAGCTGTAGGTAACAAGTTCTGTCTCTCACCTCTGAGTGTCTTTGTGTTGTATCTTGGCATTGAAAGAAGTTTTAAATCTTATACAACACCAGGCTGAGTCTTACATCTGTTTAGGTATTGGACAGGTGAGGAGTTGAAGTCAGAGGAGAAATCAGCCCAGGCAAGGAAGAGAGTAAACTTGTGATGAGTTTGCAGATGCACATATGGGCACCATCCGGACACTGGAAATCATGGAGAACATTTAAGCAAGAAGGAGTTACAGGCCTCCGGGCAATGACATCTCAGAGGCAGGAAGAGAAGTGCAATCCAGGGAGATGACAGCAAAAATACACCCCGAGAAGTGTGAGGCAGCAGTGTGTAGTAGGATCTGATGGATTCCATGAGTCTCTAAGGTGGGGAGTGACCTGAAATGTCAAATGCGGGGAAACTGTCCAGAAAAGTCAGCATGAGAAAGCAGGTATTGAACTGGGCAGTGAGGAGGTGGCTGGTGGTCCTAGGAAGAGCAGTTTCAGTATTGTGGCTGCTGCACATGCTGGTTCATGATGGTTTGAAGTAGGGGTGAAAGGTGAAGAACCAGAGTTAGTGAGAGAAGAACGTTCTGTTGAGGACTTTCAATAAAGAGGAGAGGAGAGAAATGAGGATGTAAGAGTGAGGAAGTGCATGTGTAATTCCTTCTCTCTTTTTTTTTCACATGGGAAAAGTTTGAGCATGTTTAAAGTACTGGAGTTGGAGGACAGGGATGGCTGATAGAACCAGGTGCTGCAAGAAGTGGTGGGTGCAGGCCAGATGTGGTGGCTCCTGTAATTGCAGAGCTTTGGGAGGCTAAGGTGCTAGGATCACTTGAGCCCAGGAGTTCAAGGCAACACAGTGAGACCCTGTCTCTACAAAAAAGTTATCCAGGCATGGTAGCATACACCTGTGGTCCCAGCTACTCCAGAGGCTGAGGCGGTAGGGTTGCTTGGACCCAGGAGTTCAAGGCTACAGTGAGCCGTGTTTGTGCCACTCTACTCCAGCCTGGGCAACAGAGTGAGAACTTGTTTCAAAAACAAAACAAAAAAGAGGTGGCGAGGGCAAAGGTGGAAGAAGGGGCTGGAACCAGAATTGCAGAGATCCTCCTGCTCAGAAAGTACCTGGTAATATATGCATGGGTATAGGGTCAATCCTCATTGAGAATTAGATTTTTGCAAATTTGCCTACTTGCTAAAATTGATTTGTAACTCCTGTTAAAAGAAAAGCTTTAGGCAAATTAAATTTAACAGAGTTTAATTGAGCAAAGGAGTCACGAAATGGGCAGAAAAGGTTCAGAGAGGACCCATGCTACTGTGTGGTCAGAGAGGATCTATGAACAGAAATAAGAAAGTGATGTTCAGAAAATGGAAGCGAGATACAAAAACAGCTGGATTGGTTACAGCTTAGCAGCGTTTGCCTCACTTCAACATGATGTGAACAGCTGACTGCCTATGAGTGGTTGAAGTATGATTGCTGTGATTGGCTGAGACTCAGCCAGCTATTGCAAGATTAGGTGATAGTCTGTTTACACGTCCAGTTAGGTGAGAGTTCACTATACACAGAGAAACCTTTAGGGTAACCTTAAAATATATAAGGTGGCAGCTTTAGGCTAGACTTAATGAACACTCCCAAATCAATTCTCTTGGTGCTTTTAAATTCATTTGTAGACATACACAGAATGGCAAAAAATTGGAGTTGCACAATGTGTATGTCCTCAGCTGAGGCTGAACAAGACGATGGTCTTGTTTCAGCTCCCTGAATAGGTGCCCTTTTCACAATCTATGTAGTAACACATTTTTCCAATCTGAGGGCTTTCTGATGGAGATTTTGCTGTTTAAAATGGCCCTCAATGGTAGTGCTGAGGTGCTTTCCAGTGTTCCTGTGTGAGATGGCTGTGATGCACCCTGTGGAGAAAATATGTGTATTAAATGAGCCTCATTCAGCATAAGTTATGGTGCTGTTGGCTGTGAGTTTAATGCAAAATGAATGAACGATATATATTTTTTAAGTGTATAAAACAAAATTTTGTATTGATTGATGAAAACGTGACTGCTACTACCACAAATAATGAAAATCAACTACATACACACACATAGGCACACACGTGTATGAGTCTATATAAGCTGTATAGATGCCTCATTTAATGACTCAGTTAATCCTCATGCCATTCTTATGTGGTAGGTCATTTCATGATCCCCTCTGTTTCAATGTGGGCTTGGAGACTCTGAGAGGGTAATGATTTTCCCAATGACACAGATTTTCCCAATGCCCTGTAAGGCGGGGCAGGGATACGAACTTGGGCAGTGTGACTCTGGGGCTGTGCTGTTAACCACTTCTGCCATGTGCCCGTTGGTGTGTGGATCTAGACTAGGAAAGAGGCTTAAAAAGAGGCTTTTGTTAGTACTGTTTGTCATCTGGAAAGTACAAGCAGAAAAAGCACATGGGTTGCCTGATCCTGGCTTGGAGATTGGTGGTGTGAGAACACAGTTGAAGCATGTTAGTGTTGAACGTATTGTCCAGAAGGACGGACTCAGCGTGGAGAGGAAGACCATGAGTCAAGGACCAAGAGTTAGTTATTATTTAAACAAGTAATAAAAAACAAAACACAAAACAAAACAAATTATATTGAGCCCTTGCCAAGTACCACTGTTCTTGGCCCCAAGATTATGATTCATAAAGCATGATTCTATCCTCAAGAAATACAAAGTTCCAAGGCACATACAGATAACAGTCTGACGGTGACATGTGTGCCCTGCAGCCCCAGGAAGATGCCTACCTGGGTCCTGTGAGTCAAAGTGGCTTCCCATAGGAAATGCCACCTGAATTCAGTTGGAGAAGGATGAATAAGGCGCGTGACTTTGAACCTCTTGAAACTTTAGATGCCTCAACTTTGAAATGAGGATCAAAATAGTTTGACACAGGTTGTTATGAGAATTAAATGTAGTACTTCAGTGAAGCCCTTAGCATGGTGCCTGAAACATACTAAGCCTTTACTAGAAGATGCTATTACAGCAATATTATTTAGTAGGTGGAGAGCAGAAAGAAGGATGTCTAAGGAAGGTGAAGAACCAAAAGAAGGAAGCAACATGACTGTGGGCTGGGCAGCAAACAGAGCTTTTGGTGGGTACAGGGATGGCCCAGAACATGGTGGGGGTAGTAGCGGGGAGGCAGAAAGTAGCAGGGCCAGATTTCATCCACATCAAGGAAGGATGGACTTTTTAATGAGATGTGATTTTCAGGGCAGAGATTTTGAGTAAATTAGAAGCCCAGGTAGTTAACAGTGAATTGTTAGGCCAGGTACGGTGGCTCACAGCTCTAATCTCAGCACTTTGGGAGGCCAAAGCAGGAGGATCACTTAAGCTCTGGAGTTCAAGACCAGCCTGAGCAACATGGCAGAACCCCATTTCTAAATAAATAAATAATAAATAAATGACAGTGAATTGTTTCTATAACTGTGCTGGTTTCCTTGACTCACTCCTCCATGAGATACCTAGCTTCCTAGTTTAACCTCCTTCCTATCACCACATTTATCTACATATTCAGATTAGTTTTATTCTGGGTCCTCAGGGAAAATGAGCTGGTTTTATCATCTCTGGACACTCCATTCCTTCATTCATTCATGCATTCACTCACTCACTCATTCAGACTTTACTAACTCTCTTGTGTCAGGACTTTCCTCTGCATGCTAAGGGGTACACAGTGAGAAACATGGAGGCACTCAGAATCTTGGCAGAGAGACAGAGAGGAAAACAAATAATAATAGCTGTGGGAAGTGGCGGTAAGAGATTGATAAGAAGAAGCTCTTGGGGGAACATAGATGAGAGATGGGATAGAGGATAAAATATAAGGAATCCAGTGAAATGGACACATGTTTGCAAGATCTGGAGGTTCATGCTTGACCATTGGTACTGACCAGACACTTACGTTTTGGCAAATCTCTCCTAAGATGATAACATCTTACATTTGTGGGAACTAGGATAGAGCACACCCAGTGAATACCATACAAGGTTGAGTTTCCTAACCTCCTAGAATCTGAAGAAAGTTTAACCTTTTCCCTGGAAGTACAAATTTTTGATATAAAATAATCACTGAACTTCTAAACTCCATTCATGGCCAGGTATGGTGGCTCACACCTGTAATCCCAGCACTTTGGGAGAGTGAGGATCACTTGAACTAGGTGTTTGAGACCAGCCTGGATAACACAGTGAAACTATGACTCAACAAAAAAACTAAAAAATTAGCCAGGCATTGTGGCACATGCTTGTAGTCCCAGCTACTCGGGAGGCTGAGGTGGGAGAACTGCTTAAGCCAGGGAGGTTGAGGCTGCAGTGAGCCATGATCACGCCACTGTACTCTAGCCTGGGTGACAGAGTGAGACTCTGCCTCAAAAAAAAGTTAAAAATGAAAATTAAAATCCATTAATTGCTGACAATTATAAATTTTGCTTTGAATAATAAAGTTATATAGAATGTTCTACCTCTTCAGCAAAGAAACCATCAAGCCTGCAAGCTCAAGGACCTATGTTCTAGTATCATAGAAGGGGATTTGGGCCAATACAGCTATCAATTATCCCCACTCACCTCTGGTCACCATCATGACTAGCTCCAAGAATCAGTAGTGTTCTGACTGAAACTGATCTTTCCAATTAATGAGAAGGATACGTTGGGTAACCAAATGACTTTCCAAGAGGAGAAAAGCAACCTCTGTTGACAAGTAACACAGACTACCTTGTTTTCAACAGAAGGATTCAAAATACGATTGCGAATGTAGTGATTAACACTGTAAGCTGGGTTGGGGGTGAGACAATTTGTCTCAGGAGGGTTGAAACAGGATATGATTTTGAGAAATATCAACCCCACTTTTTAAATTAACTTATTGACAAAATACTGTCAAGATTCTTTAAGGAAACTACATCTATGGTAAAAGTATTCTATATGTTTTTGAAAATAGCTTTATGCTGCAGATGGTAGGAAAGAATAAATTAACTAAAATATCTTTAATGTTCTTTTCTAGCACTGTGACTAGTAAAATATATTTCAAGCCCCAAATAAAAGAGTCGATGTGAACTTGATCTATCTCAGGTAACCAATAAGCATTTCAAACTCTCATGTCAGGGATTTTTAATGATTGTAGAAGACATTTCTTAAAATATTTTACACTCACTGACCTCATCTGCTTCAATGAAAGCACTGCCCTAAGCCTTCAGTCATCTTTCTAGAGGCCTACTGCTGCTATCTAGAGTTCACAGCCAAGATTGATTACGTTTACTACGTGGTACTGAAAAATCGATTCAATATTAGAAAATTGTGAAAATTACAGACATTTAATATGATGCCAACCTACTAATTGCCGTGAGTTCAGGAACAAAGGAAATATTAGTAGGTGCAAATATGGTATTACTAGATAAAATTCCACTTTATATTTTCCCCCAATCTGGCAACTCTGGTAGAGTAGCATCTTTCAAATGTGTTCTTCAATCACATTTGAATACATACATTTGAATCTATGACTGTGTCTTGACCTAAGAAAGGAAAGTCCTCTTCAGGAAGAAGCCCTGTCTTTGCAAGTAGAAATAATTGACTCAACAGGCATAATGTGATTCACTTTTAAAGTATGTTCTTCCATATGACGCTTTGGTAGTAATAGTAACGATCTTTCTTATTTTATGCTCCACTAGGGCATATGTGGCCAATTGTATCGCCAGTGTAAGTCTGGATTACTTTCTATTACTTTCTATTGATAATTGTTAATAACCGAAGACATTTGGAACTAAAAGGCAGTCAGTGGTGCTTGCAACAAAGCAGGGGCAATTAAGATGGGTGAGGGTTTTAAACTCTGCATTGGTCTGTGCACATCGGGAGAGGCAGTCAGCCATTAAAAAAATTAAACCATTTGGGTCTTGGGTTAAGGTCTGTGAACTCTTTAATGTCATAATTGCCTGCTGCCTCAATCATCAAACTGAATGAACTTCTAAGTTGAAATGTCATAAACGCTCAGCGTAAAGATTTATATAACCCAGGTATCCGACCTACCGCCAAGCCATGCCTGTGGCAGGGAGTGTTTGTTATGTCTTACTCAACCTTTTGGGAAAAAAATAAATAAATCCGGAAATGTGCTTGTTCTGGCAATGATCAAAACATTAAGAACCAATTCTTTTATCTGTATGGTGTGTTCAGATTCTGTGATAAACATATCCATTTCCTATAAAAAATAATTTAGATACAAATTCCTTTAGTAGAAAAAGGTTAGTGTCATGTTTTCCCACTGTATACTTAGCCAAAATGTGATAGGAATATTTTTAGTTAGAGTAAATTCTTTTTTCTGAAGAAGTACATTATTTTGTGATGTTCAGTTACATTTTGATCCTCCCTAAAGAAAAATCCAAATTTCATCATGTGTTTATTATAAATGTGTGCTAAATAAAAACCCAATATTTTGTAGTCAGATATTATTTGGAATTTCTCCTTTTTATATAATATGGGATTATTTTAAAGTCAGTGATTCATATAACCCAAAATAATACCATATTTTTCTTGTTATACAGAAGTAAAAACAAAATTTCAGAGACACTGTGACAAAAGTTCTCTTAGTTCTGCCAAACCAATATGTACTTACCAAGTCATAAAAATTGTGTTCATTAAACCCTTACAAATCAATAATAAAAATAAAAATAAAAAGTGAGCAAAAGACCCGAACAAACCCTTGACAAAAGAAGGTATATAAGTGGTTAATAAGTATGTCAAAATAAATTCAACATCATTAGTTACTAGGGAGGTGCAAATTAAAACCACAATGAAATACCACATATGCCTTCGTATGGCTAACATTTAAAAAGACTGAGAATACTTAGTTGATAAGAATGCAGAGCGTCTGGAACTCTTATGCACTGATGGTGGGAGCATGTATTAAGAGCTGGTTATATTACATGCTGACACAAATGAGGAAGCACAAGAGGATGGCCCTGCCCAGGAGACAGCCAGTGTGCCAGGGAAGCTGGTCAGGAAAACAGATGATTCCCGCACTGTGTAAAGTGTAGGGTATGCAGCAGATCCTACGGAAGCCCTTGGGCTGGTGTTCTGCCAGATAGGGCTAGGGACAGAAGGCAGGCAGGGGCAGATTTTAGGTGGCATTTCAGCCGAACCTGAAAAGACTAGGGGTGAGTCAGAGAAAGAAAGAAAGGAGAGAAAATAGGTCACCAAACACAAAATGATAGATATTTTTAAAATATGGCAGATTTAGGGAACTTTTGAAAGCCAAAGGGAATAATGGGGATGGGCAGAAATAGCAGGCAGGAGGATACAGAGAAGGGCAGGAATTACATATTTGAAGTACGAGGTATGCTACCATGCTGAAATATTTGGTCTTTGTCCTGAAAGCTATGAAAATACAATAGAGGTTTTAAAACTGGGAAATGTGATCAGATTTGGCTTTTGGAAAGACTGCTTTTTGAGCAGCATTGAAAATTGATGGGATGTAGGTATGATGGAAGACAAGGCAGTCAATTGACTACTTAAAAATCACTTATAATTCACTATAACCAATATGGAGTTATCTCTTTCAGTGATCCAGGTCTTGATATCTGGAGGTTGCCACCAAACACGTGTGTGTTTTCTCTTTAGATGTTTGGTTTTCTTCCTGAAAGCTGTGCATTGTATGATAAAAATGCTGAACATCCCTCAGCAATGCTACTGAAGAAAGCAAACTTACGCAGATGATGACAGCATTATTTTGCCAAAAATTCATAATATTCAAAATAACATTTCATCAGAGAGAAACTACCTTCCATCAAAGACCATCAGAATCCAAGGAATCATGCAGCCTGTACACCCCCTGCCTGTTCTCAGCAGTTTCTGTCTGGCATGCCTCAATGGGCCCCGGACAAAGAGACCCTCAAATCAGCGAGGCTGAAGAAGAAAGGCAATTTGAAGCCTCTCTCCTCCAGTTTAAAAGGCAGTTTCTAAAGTGCTTGCAGCAAATCAGCTTATGGTCAAAGTGCACACCAATAAGAGACATCAGGTATGGGTCACAAAGGCTGTATGAAGCAGATTTGACTATGTCAGTCAGAGTCTGCCTGGAAGACAGCTCGTGCCCAGATGGTTTATCATGGGTATCTAATACAAAAGCAAGTCACAGAGGTATTAGAAGATCTGAAAACAAGGGAAGTGAAGCAATCCAGACACTGACAACTGCAGGAAGCTGTTACCACAACAAGGGTTGGAGGGGCAAAGAGAAGGGATATATATACCAGGGTCCAGGAGATGGGGCCTTTGAGGGCTGATCTGCTTGGTGAGAACAGACTTCCAGGAGAGATAAAGCCCATGCTGGAAAAGCCTGTGGACACAGAGATGAGTTACGAATACCATAGCTTCACCCCTCCTCCACCGACCCTCTAATTTCCTGTAAGTGCTTCCATTGGCTGAATCTAACAGGAAGTGGTGGGTAAAGACTTCTGGGAAGTGTAGTTTGCATTGTTATCCCACTGTTCTAGAGGGCAGGGATGGGCTTCCTGGGCTAGAGGGGTACTTGAGGGCAAATGGATTACCTATCAAGTCAGTTGATCTTGGCATGTGTTTCCTGCAGTAAACAAAGAGCAGTTAGAGCCTGCTAATTTGTCTGTTTTCAATGAGAAGACAGTAACATATCGTATAGTTACCTTGATACGGGAGTGCGGGAGGGAAGTGCTGGGTAGAGAAAGGCGGGTTCCTGGCTAGGGCTCCCCTCCAACAGACTAGGTGAGGACAGGCACTCCTGCTTTCAGCCCAAATGTTGCATTTTCCAAGACCACCCTGGTCTGCCACGCCCCCATCCTGGACTTATAAAAACCTGAGACCCTAGCCGGCAGACACACAGGCAGCCAGTTGTTGAGAGGAGCACATCACCAGAAGAAAACACAAGCGGCTGGAAGGCGAGAGGATGTCAAGGGAGCATGCCAGCAGAAGAGCACACTGACAGATGCCAGCACACCCTCAGGCCATCGACTGGTGGGACAAGGCAGAGTTTGGCTGGGGCAGTTAGAGGAGAGCCGGGGGCCACTAAGGGCCCAACTCCACGGGAAAAACCATCTCCCTTCTGGCTCCCCCATCTGCTGAGAGCTACTTTCACTCAATAGAATTTTGTACTCATTCTCCAAGCCCACGTGTGATACAATTTTTCTGGTACACCAAGGCAAGAACCTGGGATACAGAAAGCCCTCTGTCCTTGTGACAAGATAGAGGGTCTAACTGAGCTGGTTAACACAAGCTGCCTATAGACAGCAAACTAAAAGAGCACCTTGTAACACATGCCCACTGGGGTTTCAGCTGTAAACATTCACCCCTAGACACTGCCATAGGATTGGAACCCCACAGCCTGCCCATCTGTGTGCTCCCCTAGAGGTTTGAGTAGTGGGGCACTGAAGAAGCAAACCACACCCCCATTGCACGCCCTACAAGGGGGACAAGGGAACTTTTCCTGTTTCAATATCAGAAGGTCTCAGGGATTTCCCAAGGATGTCCTCTAACATGCTTCAAATTCATAAATACAGTTCAAATAAACTATATTTAGTTTACTTAACAGCAAATAACCTTCAGTTTTCTTACCCTTAGTTGGTACACAATAAAGTTTGCTGAATGAGTAATTTTAACATGACCAGGAGACAGGGGTCCTCTTACCTTGGTCACTTACTAAAATCTGAAAGCAAATTTAGAGCTCAATTCCCAAAGTTCCTTTAACTACAAATAGAGAGGACTTCATCTAGAAAGAGAGATTAAATCTTTGAGGAGGAGCTTAGCAAGGATGTTATGGAAGCAGGACTCTAGGTACATGTATTGATACAAAGAGGTAACATCAACTTTGAGATATCCTATGGTAATTAATACATGATTATGAAATTTTGAGAAAAATAATTCAGTGAAGTGAACAACAGTAAAGAAAAGGGACAAAGAAAATGACTGGGAACTCTCTCACTACCTCCTTAGTCAATGAAATATTTCACTGTCCTGTCTCTGTTGTACCTCACAAGAAGAATGGCTTATTTCACTCAAAGGCCCACAGATCAATGACCTCGGGACACTTTGCTGAGCTTCCTCTTCCACATCTACTTCAGCACTGTTCCGGGGGCTTCTCTGGTCTTCTTTCTCTGTGATCAGCCCCTGACTCTACCCACCTTTGATAATTTTCTTTCTCTTTGTGTTTACTAATTCCGCATCCACCCCCCAACTGAAATTGAACCCGTCGATATATTATCTTTTTGATCTAGTATTCAACTACATTTATGCAATTCTTATTTTGGATTTGACATTGTGCTGAGTAAATGGAGGAGGAAAAAAACACAAACGAACAAACCCAAAGAAACTCAAGGCATGATTCTTAGTTTCAGGGGACTGATACATCTTGATATCCTCTTGTACTTTTTCAAATCCTTTTTAATAAGCACTCACTGATGAGCTGATGATAACAACTAACATATTTAAGCACTCACTGTTTGCATCAGACACACCATTGTTCTCATTTTTGTCCCTCTTTCATCAATGTCATTAGGTGTGTGGTATTGTTATCATTATTTGACAAAAGATACAGTAGAAGCATAAAGAGGTTATGCTGGCCTTTGCATGGTGGAGCTGGGATCAGAGCTCTAATAGCAAATGCTGGAAAATAGCCTGAAGGACTCAGCTCTTCCTCTCTTTCTTGCTTGCAGCTCTCACAACTGTAGAATGTACTGGGAATATAACATCCTGAGATAAGAAAGACCTGTCATTTAAGCCTAGGCTCTGTGCCCACCCCTCCTAGAACAGGATGTCCTACCACACTGTAGCCCAGTGATTCCAGATTACCCTGGGGTATACAGTAGAGTGCTTTTGGGGTTGTTCAGCTGCTGTGCAACGTGGGCATAAGCAGATGAGATTGCATCCACTTCAAGCAGCTTTCCTGAGCCTTGGGGGCTCTGGGTTACTATGAATCCCAGGCTGCTCTTGTCCCTTCCTGCCTGTCTGTGAGTAATAAAGTGGCTTCGCTTACCTTGTTGTATAAACGTTCTGTCTCACTGAACTTACGCAGTTGTTATAAATTGCAGCCCAAGATGCAGCGGGTGGAAATGTTTGGACTCTTTTTCCTAGTGGTTGATGTAGTGAGGAACTTTGCTATCCTCCATGTGGTGGGATAATTGCCTGGGATTGGTAACTGCTGCACTGTGAACCTGCTTCACAGGCTTGTGGTTCACAGAGTGCCATGCTCACGAGTAGTCAGAACAGACATCATGAACTATATACTAATCTACTAAGTTCCATGCCACTGTGCTACAGATGAGAACACCAAACACAGCCAGGAATGGTTCTGGAACTTCAGGAGTTCTAGTCTAGTTGACTAGACTGAATATGGATGTGTTATACGGTGCTACAGGGACAAAGATATAGGAAGATGGTAAAAGTTTCTGATCTGGTTTAGATCTGTGCCCCTGCCCAAATCTCATGTTCAATTGTAATCCCCAATGTTGGAGGTGGGGCCTGAAGGGAGATGATTGGATCATAGAGGTGGACCCTTCATGAATGGTTTAAAACCATCCCTTTGGAGATGTTCTCCTGATGGTGAGTGAATTCTCACGAGATCAGTTTGAAACTGTGTGGCACCTCCTCCTCCCCTTTCTCCTGCTCTAGCCATGAGAATTGCTGACTCCCTCTTTGCCTTCTGCCATGGTTGTAAGTTTCTTGAGGTCTCCTCAGAAGATGTGCAGATGCCAGAAGCATGCTTCCTGCACAGCCTGCAGAACCATGAGCCAATTGATATTAATTTATATATATAAAGAAAATGTTAATTTTCTTCATAAATTACCCAGTTGCAGGTTTTTTTTCTTTTTAAAGCACTGTGAGAATGGACTAATACAGTTACCTAAGGAGAAATAAAAAAAAAAAAAAAAGGATGGTCAAGTTAGTTCTACCTGGGCAGTGGGGCAGCTTGAAGGAAGTGATGAGTCATAGAGCTGAGCTAATCAGCAGGTGGTGAAGAATAAAAAGAGAGAAGGACATTAGAGAGCATTAGCAGAGACAAGGTAGGAATCACAATGGCACTTTCAGAATACAGATTGTTCAGCACACCTAAATGTTGGGTGACAGCAGAGGTAAGCACCAAAACAGATGATGGGCCTGCCTATTTTGCTAAGAAGTGTGGATTTTGTCCTGACAGTAATGAGGCAACATCAATGGATTTTAAGCAGTTCTTCTGTTTAGGAAGGCACCAAGAGCAGTAAGGAGACTGAAGAAAAGTGGGACAGCAAGGTTAGGTGAGCTCCCTGGAGGACATGAAGTAGGTCATAGTAATGAGAATGTCTAGGAAGATGATAGGGAAGTGGACGCTACAGCATTCATGATCCAACTGGGCCTAAGGACTAAGAAAAAGGAAAAAATAAGGAAAAAAAAAACCTCCCAAACAAAACCATTTTGACTCGAGTAACCAGATGGATTTCAGTAACATTTTCCAAAATAAGAAAAGAGGAGAAGAAGTTGGGGAAATGCCCTTTATCTTGTCTTCCTGCCTTGCCTCTCTTTGCCATTTTCCTTCCTCCATTTTTACCAGTTTACATCTCCCAGGTTTTGTGTGTCTTTCAAGGTCAGACTTGTGAGAAGGTGATGGTTTATAGAATTTGAAGCTAGCCTGGCAAGAATCTTTATCCAAATGAAATTTTTTACCCAATTCCAGAGAGGCAAATATTCCCTAATTATTTTAAATATTGTATTTTTCCTTGAGTATTAACAGAATGAACTGGACAATTTTAAAAGGTAATTCAAAGGTAGTTGTGAAGCTTGTGAGCAAATGGATGTGTGGGTAATTTATGTGAAAAAAATCATAGATGCTCAGTCGATTTCTGGCTTTGATGTCTGGGTAATATTAATTAGGCTTGACTATTTAGGAAAGACAATAATTTCAGGGAAATTTTTTTTTTAAACGCTGAGTGTGTGGTGGCTTTGGGACTTTTCTGTGTGGGTTTCTACTAGGCAGGTAGAGAGTGTGATCTTCAGCAGAGGAGCAAGATGAATGGGAAATAGAATTACAGGTGATATCAGCATATGGATAGTGATGGGAGTCAGTGCCACACCCAGAAAATTATGAGAAGTGAAGATGTCAGAGGGTCAACAGCAGAACCTTACAGAAGACAGCAATCCCCGCTTATCTAGAGTTTTGATTTCCGAGGTTTCATTTACCTGCAGTCCACTGCAGTCTCAAAATATTGCACGCAATAAGATAATTTGAGAGAGAGAGAGAAAGAGAGACCACATTCACCTAACCTTTATTACAGAATATTTTTATAATAGTTCTATTTTATTATTGTTATTGTTAATCTTTTACCATGCCTAATATATAAATTAAGCTTTATTTATAAAGCATATATATATATATATATATATATATGTATATATATTGTTTGGGGAAAATCAATGTATTGCAGTTTCAGGCATCCACGGGGAGTCTTGGAATGTATCCGCTGTGGATAAGGGGGAGCTACTGTGCAATATTCAGAGTCAGGCAGAGGAAGAGGAATGAGCAGGAGGCATTAGGAAAGAAGGTCAGAGGAACAGGAGAACCAAAAGAACTTAGTCTGAGTAAGCTAAGGGAGGATACACTGAAGAAGAAGCAAGCAGCCAGTGTCACAGAGGTTAACGATGTTGAAGGCTGAAAGAACACATTGTGTTTGGTTATTAAGGGACCATTGGTGACTTCAGACACAGCAAATTCAGTGGAATGCTGAAAATAGAAACTCAATTGCAATGGGTAATAAGGAAGTCCATGAGGTCTGTGTATGTGGATAATTCTAAGAAAACTTCCTCGAAAATCAAGCAGGATACAAGGTGGCAGAGTCCTACTCTTCATGAGTAAAGAGGGTGCTAAGATCGTTGGGGATGGGGAAAAAGGTAGAAGTGTCCTGTGCACTGGCCCATGGAATTTATGCAATGAAGCTTGGGCCTGAGGATGGCGCAACCACATCAAAGCTGAGATAGCAAAGCTGATTATAAATAATTCCATACACCAACCCACCAAGATCTCAAAGTATTTCAGTCTGTCCTAAGAGTTCTAATACCCAAACCACAAGATAGCCCAGGGATGTAATGGCAATCTGAGGCCATGTACAAATGAGATTAGCCCAGGTGCCACTCTATTCCTGCTCCTATTTGCTGACCTCAAGCCTCTCCACTAACACTAAATCCCTTTAATATCAGCAAAGTAGGTTCCATCTGGGAATGTTTAGATGTTTTAGTGATAGCCTTAGGCTGAGATAGATGGTAATATCTACTGAAATGAGATTCACTGTCACAGGAAATTCCAATGGCTGTGCTTTCATGGGCCCCACATTTTCAAACTGGAACAAGTATGTGATAACTATGTGAACAAATTAGGCACATCACCCAGATAATATATAGATAGTCAAGATTATACTGGTTGCTGTCCAACGTGCACATGCTGCTTGGTAAGATCCTCTGGTGAATCACAGTTCATGGTCTATTGATCTACTATTAATACAATTTCTGTTGCCCTTTGAGCTTTTTGCCCCACATGTATAATTTCTCCAAGACATTCAGTATGTTATCTGAAAGGTCTCTCAGTGCCCCTGCATCAATGCAAACCAGACTACATACAGATGAACAAAGGGAATTTAACTTTCATAAGTTGGTTTTAAAATGCATTTACTTTGACTGCACTGAAAGAATCTAAAAAAAGATGAAAAGCATCTTTAGCATGCCAAAAACATCTGGTTTCATATTTTCAGACCAAAAGGAAATTGCATGAAGACTAAAATCTTATGTTTTGATTTATATTATTATTGGAGGGTTGAGAAGCTGCCAGTCACCAAGTAAAATTTTATGATGATAAATAAATAAGGAAAACAATCTGACAAAACATGTTGCGGAACAAAGCTGCATTTCAAGTTTAATTAACTGATAACAATGTTTATGATGGAAGAACTGTGCCACCAATTATACAATTAGTAAATGTATGCTCCCAATGAGAAGACAGGCCTATAAAACTGTATAAAGGGCTCTTCCTCGCCATAGTCTTTCAGCCTATCCAAGCAAAGTTTTGCTTCATGTAGTAAATCATGCATCAATTAAGACCCTCTCTGAGCACATGCATGAGTTGGTCTCTGAGAGATGGTACCTCTAAATAGCATATTTTAAACTAAAACATAGCAGAAGTAATACTTTCCTAATAAGTAGAGTGATGGTTTCTTCTGCAACTGACAGGAGCTGGTACAGTAGAGATACAGCCGTCAGGGGAAGAAAGAAAAATAAAACAGTTAAAAAGAGAAGAGAATGTTTACATCTTTTTAGTACTAAGCTTTCCCCTCTCCCCAAAACCTCGGACAAAATTCTCACAAAGAGTTCCAGCAGAAAAGCTTTCATAGTGCCTGCTGATCAGCAGTGGGCTGTAGGTAGAAGTTTTCCTTAATCGTTTATGGGTGAACCAGGTCTCTTTGTGGTTTTGAATCTCGCATTTAAAAGCATTGCATACTCAGTTGTTGCAATTCAAAGACATTAGGATCACAGTTATTGTTTGTTCCCAATGTAAACTGTTTGCTTTCAGTTTACCATTGAGACTATCTCATGCCATGTTTTAGCATTCGTTACATTTTTAGAGGGACACTTTTCATAGCAGATCTTATAAGTTGATTTACTCAAACTACTGAAGGAGATAAACCTAGGCTGATATGCAGATTTTATGTCCAGTCTTCCTCGGCTCTTGGAATGCTGGACTATTACCAGATTTAGGAAATACTTAACTCCCCTGACTGCAGGTCCATTAACCATTCTGCTCACACCCCCATAGAATCCTTTCAGCAGCAATAACTGTCACTATGCTTTTGGTATCCCTGACAGTGAGCTCCACACGAAAATAAGATCAGTTAGCACATTAAGCAATGCATTCGAAATATTAGGTAGTTTCCCAATGGATGCCTAATAGAATTTAAAATACATATATAGCTGATATTAAGGGGTAGAGTATTCAATCAAACGCTTTTGTTGCTAAAACTCAATATTCTGTAGTCAGACAAAAGGCCTGCAGAATGCAGAACAGTTGTGGAAAATTCCTGGAACTTTAAGCTTAGATACAGTTGCCATCAAAAACATTCTGAAGTGCACTTGTTGATTCAAGAGGAAGCACAAAGCATTTGGAATTTTGGTTTTTCCTAGAATCTGTTTGGATTTGTGCATGGCAATTTCCTGTGTGATTTTTATTTTCTTTTCTCCAGTTGTGTTCTCTCATGAATTAATTTCATGCCATTTCTCCCTTATTAAAATTATTAATCAGTTCAATTGTTTGGTCAACCAATTTTTCTTTCCCCCTTTTAGATGTATGTGGTAATTGTCACCCCCTTCGTTAACAAAATGAACTTTTCTATATGCAAGGAGGCTGTGTTGGTTCATTTTGTGTCTGTCTGCATGCATGTATGTGCATGGAAAAGTTAACATCTTGTCTTCAATGCAGTTGGGAATTACTACTGGCATGTTTTGACTCATTACCTTGAATCTTAATCAGCTGATGAAAAAAATTAGTTTCATCAGCTGATGAAGGCTCAGGGTAATGAGTCAAAACATCATGATAGGGCTTCTCAAGCCTCCAGAAGTGGGACTGGAGCACTTCACCTGAGACAGCTGTCTCTCAGTGCTGTCCAACAGATGATTTATCCAGTCTCTGTGTTTACACAAAGTAACAATCACAGCGTGGTATGAGAAAGGACTGGCAGTTGGTGAGCACTATCATCTCCTAGGAAGAGGAGTTGTACTTTTTATATTAGTATTTTAAAAATTGTGGTAAAATACAAATAGCATAGATTTGTGATTTTAACTTTTTTTTTTTTTTTTTTTTTTTTTTTTCCCTGAGATGCACTTTTGCTCTTGTTGCCCAGGCTGGAATGCAATGGTGCGATCTTGGCTCACTGCAACCTCTGCCTCCTGGGTTCAAGTGATTCTCCAGCCTCAGCCTCCTGAGTAGCTGTGATTACAGGTGCCCACCACCACGCCTGGCTTTTTTTTTTTTTTTTTTTTTTTTTGTATTTTTAATAGAGACTGGTTTTCGCCACGTTGGCCAGGCTGGTCTCGAACTCCTGACCTCAGGTGATCTGCTCGCCTCAGCCTCCCAAAGTGCTGGGATTACAGGCATAAGCCAGTGTGTTCGGCCTGATTTAAAACATTTTAAGTGTACAGTTCGATGGCATTAGGTACATTTGAATTATTGTGCAACCATCACCACCATCCATCTCCAGAACTTTTTCATCTTGCAAAACGGAAACTCCGTACCCACGAAACAATAGCTTCCCATTCCTCCCTCTCCTCAGCCCCTGGTGACCACCGTTCTACTTTATGTCTCTACGATTTTGACTAGCTCATACAGGGGGAATCATACAGTGTTTATTCCTTCGTGACTGGCTTATTTCACTCAGCATAATGACCTCAAGATTCATCCATGCACAGCATGTGGCAGAATTTCCTTCCTTTAAAAATTGAATAATATTCCATCGTACGGATAGACCACATTTTGTTTCTCCATTTATTATTTGTTACGAACTCGTGGGTTGCTTCCACTTTTTGACTACTGTAATGCCTCTGTGAACGTGAGTGTAGTAATATGTCTTCGAGACCTTGCTTTCTTTTTTTCTTTTTTCTTTTTAGACGGAGTCTTGCTCTGTCACCCAGGCTGGAGTGTGCGGTGGCCCGATGTCGGCTCACTGCAAACTCCACCTCCCGGATTCAAGGGATTCTTCTGCCTCAGCCTCCCGAGTAGCTGGGATTACAGGCGCCCGCCACCACGCCCGGCTCATTTCTGTATTTTTAGTAGAGACGGGGTTTCGCCATGTTGGCCAGGCTGGTCTCGAACTCCTGACCTCAGGTGATCCGCCCGCCTCAGCCTCCCAAAGTGCTGGGGCTGCAGGCGTGAGCCATCGCTTTTTAAAAGTCTCCTACCTCCTCTCTCCAGCTCTGCTGCTGGGTCTATGTGACTGCAAAGCCTCCTTCCGGTTCCTCAACTGTGGACCCAGAGGGTTGCTGTTCCTTAAGGTCCCTTAGATCCAGAACTTCCTCGCCCTGCAATCCCGAGTGTCGCTCTATTGTTGACAATTCAAGAAGCAGCATTTAAAATTTTAAAAATTATAGACAACCATTCCTCACAATCATCAGCCTTATATTCCACCATTCCACCATTCCACCATTTCAAACGTTTTAAAACCTTGCTTGATATCTTTTTGCTTCACACTGACAACTGCTTTTACTTTTTTTTTTTTTTTTTAACAGTGCTTAGTCTTGAGACTTCTCTGGCTGTGTAAGTGAAGTCCCTCTGCGTTCTCATTTATTTCATCTTTTTTTTTTTTTGAGTGGATTTCTGGTTGTGATACTGAACTGAGGAGATTTGACTTAAATAAAGTGCCAATTTGGAAAAGAAACATAAGGAAAAGGGAGAAATGATGACAGTCACAAATGAGAGTGTGCAAGTGCAGTGCTCGGGCAAGCAGTTCAGTCTCTGCTTTAATTGAACTGCTACGGAAAGAGACGCCCTCACGCGACTTTCCAGTGCATTATTTTAAACCACATATATTATTAACGTATGGTCAGTCATTGATTCTTCAGGAAAATGTTTTGAAACCCTAACATCTTAAACTTTGGCTTATATTGTTGTGAAGATATTTATTCTTTCTTATGTTTCTTGAAAGCTTAGAGTTACGAATTGTTTTGTCTTCATCAAATTTTCTGATTATAAATATCAAGGAGTCACTGAAAATACAGAAATGAGCCAGGCGTGGTGGTGGGCGCCTGTAGTCCCAGCTACTCGGGAGGCCGAGGCTGGAGAATCGCTTGAACCCAGGAGGCGGAGGTTGCAGTGAGCCGAGACTGTGCCACTGCACTCGGCGATAGAGTGAGACTCTATCTCAAAACAAACAAACAAACAAACAAAAATTTAGCCAAATGACAAACTGATTGCTTTTTGTTCGTTAGTATGTGAATTACTTCTGCAGCCTCTCCTTGTGTTTTGTTCCTCAAATAAGCTCGGACTTCTCCTGGGCTCCTATTCCTCCTTCCAACAGCAGCGCCACCTACGCCTTTCAGAATTCTTGGCAGAGACGCCCACCTCTGTCAGCGGTTTTCAGCTCCTCCTGATTGACTGTTGTCTCTTCTGCATTGCCATGACGTTTCGTTTTATATTATCGAATTCATACCCTATTCAAATTCTTTAAACCTTTGCCTTTCCCTGTTATTTGTCCTTCTCCTGAGGTTGGAAACTCACTCCCCTTTGTGGCGCCTCCCAGGCACAGCCGCTGCTCACTGGACATTTGATTCGAATTGAAATATTTTAAAAAGAAGCCAATGGGAAAGTCACTGAGAATCATAACTATCTCTTGAGCCTTTGAGGAAAAAAACAAACAAAATGAACTTACCCCTAATTATTGAAAAGCATTGATACATTTTATAGAGAAGAAGAAAAATTCTAAAACAAAGGTTATGAACCCGGCTTGCCCCTAAGCCTTTATGACATGTCCTTTCTCTGTAAGTATGACGGTATCTCTATCCTCTAGAACAGAAAGAACTTAGAACCTCTTTCAGACTTCAATGCCATCTTCTCCCTGGGGGCCTTTCCTGACCACTGTGCTTGAAAGTACCACAGCCCCTTCCTCCAGCTCCCTCTGCCCGGTCTCCATGTCATTATTTGTCCTTCCAAGCACATAACCTCCTAAGATTCTGCAAGACTTTCTTTTCCATTTTTAATTTAATTTGTTTTGGGTTTCATATTTTTGTCTACCCCAGGAGTGTTCAATCTTTTGGCTTCCCTGGGCTACTTGGAAGAAGAATTGTCTTGAACCTCACATAAAATACGCTAACACTAACAACTAGCTGATAAGTTATTTTTTTAAAATCACCAAAAAAGTCTCATAATGTTTTAAGAGAGTTTACAGATTTATATTGGGCTGCATTTAAAACCATCCTGGACTACGTGCGGTTTAGACAAGCTTGGTCCACCCTAAAGAATGTACAGTGAATGAAGCCAAGGATTTCTTATTTTTTTTTTTTTCTCTGCTCTATCCCATCACAGGCATTCACTAAGTATTGGGGAATGAATGAAAGAATGAACATCTTTCACTCATTTCTCCCTTATATTTCAAATCCATCCTATGGCTGAGTTATTTTTGTATAAAATTTTCCAAACACATCTATTTCTAAAACGTTTTCACTCTTAGACTATTGAAATCTGCTGTGTAGCTGCTGTAAGCTGGATAGGCCATTCTCAAAATATCCCTACACTAAAGGTACCATTGTTTTTTTTGATGTTTGTAAGACCAAGTTTGTTCTTTTTTCCAGTGTTGCAGTAACACTCAGGTTGCTTTGAAATTAAATTAAAATTGTATTTTTTGTGCACTAAGGTCCTCCTTTCTCTGTGTTCCCTTTTATTATGGTCTGGCCTGTTTCTCAGTATTCTGGGCAGAACCCCCTACATGCTTCCTTATCCCTTGCCACCCACTTTTTTTATACTCATATCTACAGTTTCTACTGTTTCACATACCTTCTGCCTTAATTTCTGATCAAACTTCATGTCAACTTCCAGAGAGTTACTTTATACTGAAAAAATTCATTTTAAAGTGAGCTGATTATATTTACTTCAGTCATTCCAGAAATTACCTATGCCACTCCATCACTCAACATATATGCATTAAGAGCTTATTAGATACCAGGCACTAGTCTGGGTACTGGAATTATCAGGGAGAACAAGAAAAATAAAATCACTGCCAAACTGAAATTATGATGACATTCTAATTCTTTATTTTTGCCTTCTCATTGGGTATGTAGGATGCACCATATAAATACACTGTGTACCATGCACATACTGCGATGGTTTAAAAAAAGAAGCTGGTCTTCAGCATGGCTTGAGATCTTCGTTTCTATGAATTAGAGTCACTGTGCACATTCTTTGTGCCATCAACTGAATTTCAAGGAATGATGTGTGTGTGTGTGTGTGTGTGTTTAATTTTACTTACACACCTACTCCTTCTGAACTATTTGTATATGAAGACAAGCTTTTAGACTATATTCTTGTTCACCTTTCCAGCTCCGTGTTTTCCATTTTAACATGTTCTAAAGCAGATTACAACTATGACTTGGGAGGAGAGTATATTGCTGGCCAGGCACACTGATTGGTATCTCTATAAAGACAAATTAATTGAGCAAGTGACAAGCTTTGTAACAAGTTTCAGGTGCCACATTTCACATGGTCGCTCTTTTGGAATAAGACAAGGACATTTTCATAAATGTCTTGTTACTACCCATCAGGACATGCCCCCAAGATTGCAAACCTTATGGTCAACTCTGAACACTTTGAGAACTTGAATTAAAGTTTGAAATTTAAGGCGATAGCATTCTGAGCGAGGTACAACATTTGTAGACATTAGATTAAATTAACAAAGCATCATCTGTCCCTCTGATGTTGTGGCTGCAAAGTCCTTCAGGCATTGTCTGTGTGTGTGTGCACACACTCATGAGCATGCACGCATGTGCAAAAAGATTCTTCTCAACCACCATCATAGCCCATTTCTGGAGTCTCTCTTCTCCTACATGCTAAGTATATTTCTGAGAAGTACAGAATAGAAAATATATTGCCTTAGTTGGCCAATCCAATGCAATATCTAGAAGCTTGGAGACAAAAGGATCATGGCCATGAAAGACATAAATGGCAACAGTCAGTTGAATCAACAGTCATAAAGTTGAGTTTTTCACAGACGCAAGAGAAATCAGAGTTATGGAATTTGCATCAAATTTGTATAATTCTTGGCTGGTTTGGCCAATGTTTAATTTAATGGTTCATTCTATTTTTAAAAAGTAGTTCTAAAATTTGCTTCCTTTTGTTAAATTCATTCTCCAAAAGCCAAATATTGCAATCTAGTGATGTAGCCTTCAATTTTTGGCAAAGACCATTACATTTTCTGCTCTTTTTTCTGATGGTGTAGTGGGGGAAGAAGCACACTGTCTCAATTGCCATGATGTATTTTTATTTTTAAACTACTTTTTTTTTTCTCAAGGAAAACATCTCAATTTTGAAACTCTCTGACATTATTTTTGGCATAATTTCTTTGCCTTACCCTAAATAGTTTTGCCACATTTATTGTTCTTATCACATGATAACTGAGGGGATACTGTCTCTCATTTCGAATATAAAAAAGAAAACAAAAAGAAAACCTGCCCATAGAAGCTGGAATACTTGGGGTGTGACCTTAATCTCTTTTAGTGCAATTAAATTAAAAAAGCTAATGATGCTTAATAATGTACTGCCTCTTGTGGTGTGCTTCAAGTACAGAAAAAACTTATTTTTCCCTAAAAATATTTGCCAATCCCCCCATGTATGTATCTATTAGGTATGTGTATATACACACACACATGCACATATATATATATACACACATTAACAATGCCATACAAAGAATCAACAGTTTGAAAGCATTTAATGTCTTTTTTTTTTTTGCTTCCTCATAAAACCTCATTTCTATCAAGCCTAAAGGTTATGATGAAAGCATGTATAGATTCTTTAGGTGCTTTCTCTTTATAATTTATTACAGCCCCATTAACATTTCCATTCACACTCTGTGTGTTAATGTAGGCCTGGTCACAGTGTTAATAATATTAACTTTGATTTACAACAGATAAGTTTTGTACTGTGTAAGATGCTGAGATGTTGTCAGTCACATTTTCGGCATTGCTGAAACAGAAGAGTTCCTTTTCATTAAAATTGTTTCTGATGATTCTGCACATACCTCAGACAATCTAATCTTTGTTTATTGTACAAGTTGAATGAATATTGATCTCATTCATAAGGTACTGAGATTTTAAAAATCTTTATTGTTCAAATAATTTGATTTTGAATTTGCCCACTTTTATAAGAGATTGAGAGCTTGCACATATTTCTTTTTTTAAAAAACTTAGGTTCAGGGGTACATGTGCAGGATGTGTAGGTTTGTTACATAGGTAAATTTGTGTCATGGGGGTTTGTTGTATCAATTATTTCATCACCCAGGTATTAAGCCTAGTGTCCATTATTTTTCCTGATCCTCTACCTCCTTCTACCCTCCAGTCTCTGATAGGCCCCAGTGTGTGTTGTTCCCCCATGTCGGACATATTTCTTGTTTTTTAACTTTCATCATAATTTCTAACAACACCCCAAATTTTTGTGTACTCCAACAAAATTTACTTATCATGCCTTCTTAATCATAAATCTTCCCTAAGATCTCTTGATAACTTGTTAGCAATAATTATGTCATAAAAAGTGGCAGTAACGTCAACATTACAATGTTTCACATGCATTTTACTTTTTATGTTTTCTGAAAATTTCCAGAGCTATTCTTTAATTGGAAAGTGCTTATGATGTAAGAAATTCTTTTCCACAACTGAATTTTTGTTGGAGAATCGACATATATGGTAATAGCACACATAATCTATATAATACTATAAACCAATCACTGAAAACCAGAAACATGAGATTCTTTTAAACCTTGGGATTCACCTTAAATTTTTTATGTTGAAATTAAACTTTCCTTGACATAAGTTTTTATAAAATTTGATGTGTATTACTACAGTTTCAATCATGCACAGACTCTCAGGTTTTCAGATGCTACATTCTCTATATTTTCACATCAGGTGAATTAATTATTATGATGACAAAATATTCTGTATTTCCACACTACTTCTATCAGCATCACACTTTGACTTTCCTGGTCAACTATTAGAAATCCTTGTGTAAAAGTATAAGAACACTCACTTTTGTTTGAAAAAGTTTTCAAATAATAAACATAAGAAAAAATAAATCTCAAACAATCAAAGTTGAAATATTGATCAATTGGAGGTGAGTGGAAAATTGTGTACATCAAACAGTGGAAAACCTTGCAATCATCGATATGAACAGAAATGCGTGTGCAAGTGGTTGAATCTAAAATCAGTTAGGAAGAGATGTTGTAGTGTTATCATGAGCTCAATTTCACCTATGTGCTCCTAATTTTCCTTTACTTTCCATTTCAATTTTATTAAAAATGTATATTTTATAGCATTGGAAGAAAAAATAGAACCAGGGCACATTTCAATACTTATTTGGGAAGCTTTATATTGTTTTTACCACTTAACTATGTTTCTAGCCTCTGCAAAGTTGGCAGATGTCCTGTGCCTCCTATGTTAGGCGTATGCCCATGGGAGCACTGTGTCCCTACCATGTAAAATCCTGTGCAGTTCCCTCGAAATGACACGTTCTGCATCTGGATCTTGGCTTTCTGCATTTATTCCCCTAGATGTCAGGCACTGCCACCTCCGGATAGCTTTCATGGATGCCTCACTACCCAATCCTGGAGGAAGACACACTCAGATGAGTGCAAGGGAGGAAATGAACTGCTTTCTTCTCAGCTCCATGCTCCTAGAAATATACAAATCTATACTTTCATGGAACCAAGGGAGTAGGAATGCTTTGAACCAGATGGCATATGAAAACTTTTAAATTGTATTTGGTTGGACTAGGGTTCAATATCTAGAAATGACCAGAGATTAACAGAATCAGAAAAAGAGGATTTGAGCATTTGAAGCAAGGATTGCTAATCACACAATTGTTCCCTATTTGTAATCCAGTGAATTGAGAGTTCTCAGGAGCCAGGTGCTTTTTGTGTACTTTATGAAAATTGTTCTTGGTGCTGCATTTGATGTGTATTTGGGGAAGCCTTAGAGTGCACCTGTTTTGTACTGTGGGAATAGGCTCAAGTGATTGACTTTGTGCTGCAACTTGGCGCTTTGGTCCTTGAAGCTTTTGTACATTTATGGTCAGAGGCAGTTGATGAGGCTTACGAGAGCCACCTCTATTTGCAAAATATTTTTGTTGTTGATGTGACTGGATGAGAAGGTGGAAATTTGTACCAGGTTCTGTAATTACATTTTAGAGAACATGGAACCAGGCCATGGGCCTAGATAATTCTCAGGTGTAGTTTCTTGGCATTGCTCAGGTGAAAAGGAATGAATATCCACTTATTTTGAAGTTTCCTTTAACATTTACCTGAAGCTCTTATATGATGAGATGTTATGAGTTGATCTAGTTTGTCCAAAATAAAAAGTGATTTTATAGTGCTCCTTTCCAAGACCCGGCTAACTCCTCGCTGGACTTCAGCTGTCCATAGGAGTCAATCATGTTTAATTTCTGTATTTCTAAGTTTTCTTTTGTTTTCTCCCTAACAAATATTTGGGTTAGAAAATATGGCTTAAGTGCTATAAGTGAACTCACTTATTATACTGAAATTTTGTCTTATTGGCCAAGCTGAGAAGCTTTAGGATGCCATGAGTCTAAGTTTCTGCAAATATGTCTCTGATTGTTCAATCCCTGGGCTTATTTTAGGCTCCCCAATTTTGATGAACTGCCCTGACCCAAACGATCCAGGCAGATGCACAAAGCCATGCCCTGCAAAGGGATGGCACCATGAATCCTGATCTCTAACGCTGGGTTCTGCCATAATAGTTTTTAAAGCCAGGACCTGAGAGAATGACCTAGTTTTGGTGAACATTTTTATTTATTCTAATCATTTTTCATTAAAAAGTTATTATTTCAGTTACTCATTTTGGCTGACTAACTCATATATATATTTATCTCCTCTCACCCCACCCACAGAATAATTTCCACATGAGAAAACAAACATCGTATTTTGGGTTTGATAATGGGTAATGATACGGCTCCTTTCTCCTGGCTCCTCACGTGCTTTCAACATAACACTCAGCGCTATGCAGTGAGCAAAGAGGCAGGCACTCAAAGTTGTTGATTGACAACCTTCCAAGAACAAACAACTTCATTCTTCGTTTGACAGGGCCACTTTCTCTTCCCATCCAGACACCAAACTCTGCTCCACATTGTAAATGCAGCAAGAATCTGTTCTCCTTAACTGGTGAACACATGGCTGGATTTTATTTTAAAGTGAATATTCTAGGACGCTAGGTAACTAATTTAAATAAGAGTAGCTCTGTAGGCTTATATTTGGAGAGCTCTTGGCTGAAGTTCAGTGTCTTAGAAGGTTCTGATGAATCTGGCGTCAGATCAGGGGCATCATGAGGGTCTCAGATAAGCTGTATTGTGGTAAGCAAGACTGTCTTTACTTCTCTACAAGAGAGCTTATTCCCCAGGTATAGGGGGATGTCCTGCCTGGCCATTGTCCCACCACTCCTTGGCATCTTTTGGCAATAACTTCTGTGAATTCCCTTCATAGCCTTCATCCTCCTGTTCATTCCACAGAGTTTTACTAGGTCAAATTGGGTCCAATCTAAGACCATCAAGAGCAGATACTCTTTAACAAAATGTGCTCCCCCAACCTCTAAAGAGGCTTGATCACTCCACGTTATTCCAGTTGCTCAGGTCCTGCAGAATGACCCTTGCACCTTACTAGAGAGGTTGTAACAGCACATGCATCCACCCAAAGAAGACTGGACTCAATTCAAGGTGATTTGTAAGTGCAGGTTGCAGCTGGTGGCTTGGGGACAGGAGCAGGCTTATCCATCAGTTCCCTCACAAAGTTTAACTTGGCAATTCAGACTTACAGAGCATGTAGGTAATACAAGTCTTGCAAGTCTTGCAGAAACTGCTGGGAAACCGAGGTAAATAATTGTTTTGTGAGCTTTGACACAAGTCAGGGAAAAGAGATTTCAAAAGTGCAGCAGCTCCCCAGAGCACAGCTGTTGACCCTGACCCAAGAGGAAGTTGTTTTGTGGCTGAGCTAAAGGTGCCCACTGAAGTGCCAGTGGGGCCTGGAAATCTGCATGCTAACCACACCATTCTGGAAAGAAGTTCCCTCCATGTTTCCATTACTCAATGGCTAGAAGTCCAGACAACTGAGTTTGGCCCTGTTGATGTTTATTCAGTCAGAGTAATCTCTCCAGGCTCGGCATGCATCATCTCTAAGACATGGATAATACTACTATCTACCCAACTGCCCTTATGGGGTTAGGAGAGAGCAAGTAAGACAAAAAGGTAAGACATAGTAAGAAATGAAGTTGCTATGAAACTATTTGCATTCAAGTTTGGACTTCAAAAATTTGCACAGGTTTGCATTCAATGTTCAGGGATCTACACTGCACACGATTAAAAGGAATATGAAAATTTGACTAAAGTTTATTAAAATTTAGTTAATAATGAAAGTTTAACTAGAGAATGATCATCTAAGAAAGAAAAGAAAAGGGGACTTGGGATTTATTTATTTGTATATTGCCTCAACTCACTTTATTTTGCTGAGTTTATGACTTAAACTAAGCATTAAAATGAGAAATGACATGAACATCTTTTTTTATTGTTTTAGTTTGAGGAAGAAACTGGAAGTTTCTGAAATGACAGTAAGATATTTTTCTGTATGAAAATTTTTAGGATTCACAACTGATTATGAGACTTTTTAATCACTAGGAATGCTTTCACATTTGCATTTTCGGTTTAAGAAAAAGTTTCCGTTAAGTCATAGATAGCTGAAAAGTTTGTCTACTAGTGCAGTTAAACTTTTAATTCAGCCTGAAAACATAAACATTTGCAGTTCTAGATATGATAACTATTGAAAAATTTTATTGATAAATCTTTTGTTTTTATAAAATATCATTGACTACAAACTTTTTTTTTTAATTTTAACGTATAAAAGGAAATTATTTCTCAAAGAAATACTAGAGAGTTTCCAAACCATATACAATTTATCAGAAAACGACTTTACCCAAACTGAAATTACTGATGATAAAACAGCTGGACTGATAGTAAAACAGCTAAATTATGGTTTCATTGAAATCATTGTAAAGAAAACTAAAAATTCACATACCTAGTAGGAATTCAATTGACAACAATAGGAAGATGTATCACATTTTGGTAAACAGAACGGAACACAGCAATTTCTGTGTTCTCTTAAATCATGATAATTACAGCTGCTTTCCTCTGAAGAAATGTTTTCTTGTATACTACCTCGTTTGCTATTATAATATCCCATAAGGGACAGATGTAACAGTCTTCAATTTACAGATGAGGAAAGTGAGTCACAGATGGTCAAATCTTCCTAAAGGAAAGTTGGGCCACCGTACTGACTTCCACTGAGGCTTTTAGGATTTTGATGTTAAAGTCTTTGCCTCAATGGGAGGGTGGGGTGTGTGGAATATACAGCAAAGGGTAATTATCATTCAACCCTCACCTTCCTTTCTCACCTTGGAAACCTAGAGAAGAGGCCACCACTTACCAGTTCAGCCATAATATGGAGGTCAGCGGGATGCATCTTGCCATCCATCTCATCGTGCGATTATGGATGGATGAATTAGCAGTAGAGCTCCCTTGATTCTAAAAATGAATCTAACTCAGATTAAATTTTGGAGCGATCTGACGCTTACATTTAAATCTTACTCAAAACATTGTCTGTCTCAATTTGCCCCATTAGATAAGAGAAAGGATTATCTTATTCAGAGATTGCAAAGAGTTTTACATTTATATGTTGGCTTTTACGATTGGAAAGGTCTGTTCAGAGTCTTTGTTGAGAAAGATGCTGAAATCAAGCCAGGTCTCCATGGGAAAGAGTGCTGTGATTCCTTAGGTATATTTTGTGATGGATATTGTCAGCTGGGGCTGCAAGTAGGGTTAGGAGGCCATGATAGACATGTGTACCTGTTACGATACGTGACTCCAAAACATAGTGGCTTAAAATAACACCATTTATTTGCTTAGGTTTCTGTATTTCTGTTTGAGTTTAGCTGGGCAGTTCTGGTCTTGGCCTGGGGTTCCTTAATCAACTGCTTTCAACTGGTGGCTGGCCTGAGGCTGGATGATTCAAGTCAGCCCCATGCAAATCCCTGGCAGTTAACGTGGCTGTCTTCTGGAGCTTCTTGGTTCTCCTCCTGTGGCCTCTTCAGCTGGATAGCCTGGATTTTTTATTTTTTATTTTTTTAATGATGTTGGCAGTGTCCCAAGAAGGCCAGGCTCCTCAATGTATAAGCCCTTGTCAAGTTTTTGCCAGCATCAAATTTGTGATGTTCCATTGGCTTAGGCACGTCACATGGCCAAGCCCAGAGGTGACGAGAGGGAGTGATACAAAAGCATGGATACTGGGCGGTGTGAATCACAAGTGCCATTACAATAACAATCCCCGTGGTGCACGTGTGCTATTTCTGGTAGAGTGGGAGAAAATGAGGTCTAGAGGTTTGCAAAGCTAGGTTCAATCTGGTTCTGACATAAACTAGATGTATTTTTAAACCTTGAGTTTCAGTTTCCTCCCCAGGTAAAAGGACATTAGCATTCTTACTCTTCTTTTATTTGTAGGATTACTCTTCATACAATATTTCAGAAAGCTTTACATAAGGATAAAACTTCATTGAAATGGATTCATTTCCTGAACACATGAATTACTAAATATTTTATAGAGAATACAAAAGCACAATGTCAAGTTCTGGACTTTTAGGAGCTGATAGTTTCGTAGGGAAGACAGGCCTTGTTCAGAGAAAAATAACAACAGTAACAAAACGTACAACTCATGTGGGATTTCATAAATATTTTATGAGTTTTATATAAACAATGAATGCTATAGAACTTCATAGAAGAAATGCCCTCTTTGGGAAAATCAGAGAACATTTTGTGAAAATTATAGGTGAAGAGGGCCTGGAAAGAGGGATAGGATAAAGATAAATTTATTTCATTACAAAAGTAATATATTTTAATTATAGAGAATTTAGAGAAAATAGAAAAACACGCAGAAGACCCTTTACGTGTACCATGTGTATATACAGGCACACATATATTTTTAAAATATATTTTTGAACAATTTTGTTAATAACAATATATTGTGAAATTTTCCTCTAAAATTAATTCATTTTACTACTTTCCACTTAAATGGTTGTATTTTCATTCCAACTAACCTTATGTACCATCATAATTTGAGTGTCTACTGATAAATATTTAGGTTATTGATTTTCCTGTCTTCGGCAATGCAGCAATGAAAATTCCTGCAGACATATCTTTGCTAATGATTTCCTAAGGATAAATTCCTAAAGGTGAAATAATTAAATCAAAGAGTATACAGGTCTATATTTAAAACTTTTTAATGTGGTGCAAAAGTAATTGCTGTTTCAGACTGTGAATTTTAAATCATTATAACTAGGCTCAAACACATCTTTATTAATCAATATAGGAACCATTATAATTAATGCATTTTTTGCCAACAAGAAGTAAGTTTTTTTTTTCCTGTGGTGTAAAAATTCATGCTTCAGGATTCAACGAACGCTTGGAAAGTATTTTCTGCATCCTGCTGGTTGTGGAAGCATTTTCCCTTCAAAAAGTTGTCAAGATGCTTAAAGAAATGGTAGTTGTTTGGCGAGAGGTCAGGTGAATATGGCAGATGAGGCAAAATTTCATAGCCCAATTCATTCCAAATTTGAAGCGTTGGTTGTGCCACGTGTGGCCGGGCATTGTCGTGGAGAAGAACTGGGCCCTTTCTGTTGACCGATGCCAGCTGCAGGCCCTGCAGTTTTCAGTGCATGTTATCGATTTGCATACTTCTCAGATGTAATGGTTTCGCCGGGATTCAGAAAGCTGTAGCAGATCATACCAGCGGCAGACCAACAAACAGTGACCAAGACCTTTTTCTTGGTGCAACTTTGGCTTTGGCAAGTGCTTTGGAGCTTCTTCCCAGTCCAACCACTGAGCTGGTGGTCGCTGGTTGTCACATAAAATCCACTTTTCGTGCACGTCACAATCCAATTGAGAACTGGTTCATTGTTGTTGCATAGAATAAGAGAAGACAACACTTCAAAACGACGATTATTATTTTTATTTTTGCTCAGCTGATGAGGCACCCACTTAGCGAGCTTTTTCACCTTTCCAGTTTGCTTCAAATGCCAAATGACTGTAGAATGGTCGATACGGAGTTCTTCAGCAACTTCTCATGTAGTTATAAGAGGATCAACTTTGATGATTGCTCTCAATTGGTCCTTGTCAACTTTTGGTGGCCGGCCACTACACTCCTCATCTTCTTTTTCTTTTTCTTTTTTTTTTTTAAATTTTTTTTGGAAGTGAAGTCTCACTCTGTTTCCCAGGCCTGAGTGCAGTGACACAGTCTCAGCTCACTGCAACCTCCACCTCCCAGGTTCAAGTGATTCTCCTTCCTCAGCCTCTTGAGTAGCTGATATTACAGGCACCACCACACCCAGCTAATTTTTTGTGTTTTTAGTAGAGACGGGGTTTCACTATGTTGCCCAGGCTGGTCTCAAACTCCTGACCTCAGGTGATCCACCTGCCTCGGCCTCCCAAAGTGTTGGGATTACAGGCATGAGCCACCGTGCCTAGCCCCTCCTCATCTTCAAGGCTTTTGTCTCCTTGGCAAAACTTCTTGAACCACCACTGCACTGTATGTTCATTAGCAGTTCCTGGGCCCAATGTGTTGTTGATGTTGCGAGTTGTCTCTGCTGCTTTATGACCCATTTTGAACTTGAATAAGAAACTTGTTCAAATTGGCTTTTTGTCTAACATCATTTCCATAGTCTAAGATAAATGTAAAATATACAGCATGTAATAAGTCATTATCAAAAAACAAAGTGAGACGTGTGCATTAAAATGATATATAACATAACCACATTTATTTAAGAATGTATTCCAATATCAAACGGCAAATCTCAACAATGCAAAAACTGTTATGACCTTTGCACCACTGTGATGCCAAAATTGTATACTTGGAAGAGCTGAGCCAATTTATAGTTTTATTGCTATAAGAGTCACGTTATTCTGAACCCTCACCAACACAGGTATTACAATTAGAGATTTAACTTTTCACTTCGAGGTTTAAAAATACACTGCGTAATTTTAACTTGCACTTCTGTAGTTACAATAAATACTGACCTATTTTCTATTTATTGGAAACTTATTTTCTATAAATTAGCTATTCCAAAGCCTTAGCCTATCTGCATTACTGCTGCTATGGTTTTCTGTTACATGTAAGAGCTCTTTATATGTTAAAATGAATAACAATTTGTTGAATATATGTCACAATATTTTTTAGTTTTAAAAAAAATCTTTCCTTTTTTACATTGAGTGTTCACATATTTAGTTTTTCATGTTTCCTTATGTTCCTCTCATGGTTTCTGGGTTGTTTTTTTTTTTTTTTTGCTATGCACTAAACTTTTTCCCAAAAAATGTTATTGAAAATTCACATTTTTTTCCTTCTAGATGTTTTATTGTTTCCTATAAAAATATATAATGTTTTCTCCATTTAGAATTTATTTTGGTGTGGTGTATCCTAACCATCTAACCTGTGTGTGTGTTTGAGTGCATGTACCCATATGTGCCCACACATGCAAATTGTTAGGTGATTGAACCAGCAACATTTATCAAACACCTTTATGGATAAACAGAATTAATTTAATCAGAGAGACACCAAAGATTATGTAGTCAGAGGAAATCTAATAAAAACACATGTGTGGGTAGATATTTGGCAAAACACTTAGGGGCAACTCATGTGAACTGGTTTATTGTTATAAGTAGATTTGGAAAAGGGATGAGGTGATGAAAGGCTTTGAATGACAGACTAAGAAGCATAAGGTAAATTGGCCAGGTGGGATCTGCAGGCTTTCCCTCTCCAGACTTAGAGATTGCTCAGGTACAGACCACCACCGCAGACCGGACATCTTGCCAAAATTGAGAAGGGAGTGGGCTGGCAGCCCTGAGCTGTGGGCCTGCAGAGGCTCTACTGATGCTGAGACAAAACATATGTGACTCCTCCTTATGCAGTAATCTCCCCAAGAGGCACTGTGGCCCCATGAACTCTATTTCCATTCCCAAGCTCATCTCACAGCTATCGCAGTTGTGGGCAAGAGCTCCTGGGCCCTGGACCTGCCATTCCCTCCCAGAGCCTGGTTATTTCTTGTTCCCTGGGGAATGGTGGAGAGGGTCCTCTCCTCATCCTGTGGCCCTGCCTACCGGCCTCACTCTCCGGAAGGTGCTGCTCCATTTTCCACAATACTCAGGGATGAGGGGAGGACGGAATGCCGAGGCCTTCTCTTCCTGGAGTTCCACAGGCCCCATGTCCCTCTGCCCTTCAGTGAGGATCTAGAATATTTTTATGGAGGATTAGTAATAAAGAATACTGGTTTTCTCCCTTTCCCAGAGGATAGCCCCCTGGGACTTGTATGATGCGTCACATATGAACCGTGAACTGTACAGCTTAGTTGAAGAGAGTCTGGACTCTGAAATCACTTGATTGAGGCTGGGTCCAAGTCCCATCTATGCCACATGCTTTCTGTGTGACCTTGAGTTTGTTACTCAACTCCCCTGAGCTTCAGTTTTCCCATTTATTCAATGAGAATAAGAAGAATACCTACCTGAGACAGACAGTGCTCTGCTAAGAGCTTCCTCTCCTTATCCCTACCTAAGAGAATCAGATTTTGTCCAGGTATTGAGTAATAAAGTGTTCAAGGTAGGTGAGTTTCTTCCCCAGGGTCAAAAGATGAGACTTGATAGGACTAAGTCAGTTCTAGCAACCCCATGACTCTTTACCAGGAGTTGGTTAAGAGATGGGCTCATGATTCCATTCTGCCTTAATGGGAGCTGGGAGGAGTCTGTTGGGGCTTCTGGGAAAAAGTGTTTCTTTGTGAAAAAGAAATAAGGTATATCTAGAAAAAAAACCTCTTCTCCTTCTTGTTTCTGGAGATGTTGTCTGAAGATGGGATGCTTGGGACTGCAGCAGCCACCTTGTAATCATGAGGAGAAAGCCAAGAGCTGCACAGAGAAACAGATCCAAAAGCCTGACATTACTGTGTAAGTGAATTGTTAACCCTGGGCCTGACTCCTTTGGAAGCTTGTTTTTGTAAGGTAATTTGGAGAAAACAGAACAAAACAAAAAATAAAATAAAAACCTATGTGCTTGAAAGTCTTCAAAAGATATTTACTGGTGGCCAGGTGTGGTGGCTCAGCCTGTAATCCCAGCACTTTGGGAGGCTGAGGCAGGCGGATCACTTGAGGTTAGGAGTTTGAGACCAGCCTGGCCAACATGGTGAAACCGTGTCTCTACTAAAAATACAAAAATTAGCCAGGCATGGTGGCAGCCAGTGCCTATAATCTCAGCTACTTGGGAGGCTAAGGCAGGAGAGTCGCTTGAACCCAGGAGGTGGAGATTACAGTGAGTCAAGATTGAGCCACTGCACTCCAGCCTGGGCAACAGAGACTCCATCTCAAAAAAAAAAAAAAAAAAAAAAAAAGAAGATATTAACTATATTATTATAATCATGACGACTGTAATTGTTATTACAACCTATTGAGTATTTGATGACTACCAGGCATTATGCTCAATGTCCCAGAACACCAAGAACTGAGGCAGGACAGAGAAGATGGGGAGATGGATAGATAGTCCTGCACAAAACTATTTCTAGTAAGTGGAATTAAAATTTCCAGGCAGCTCTTGTTTGGTTAAGAACATAGTCTTGGCTGGGCACGGTGGCTCACGCCTGTAAATCCAGCACTTTGGGAGGTCAAGGTGGGCAGATCACAAGGTCAGGAGATCGAGACCATCCTGGCTAACACGGTGAAACCCCGTCTCTACTAAAAATACAAAAAAAATTAGCCGGGTGTGGTGGCGGGCACCCATAGTCCCAGCTACTCGTGGGGCTGAGGCAGGAGAATCGCTTGAACCCAGGAGGTGGAGCTTGCAGTGAGCCGGATCTCACCACTGAACTCTAGCCTGGGCAAGAGTAAGACTTCGTCTCAAAAAAAAAAAAAAAAAAAAAGAGCATAATCTTATCCAGGAAAATCACTTGAACCCAGGAGGCAGAGGTTGCAGTGAGCCGAGATCAGGCCACTGCACTCCAGCCTGGGAGACAAGAGCAAAAATAATTGATTGCTATCTCATATCAATTTACAGCTTTGCCTTTCTCAAAGGAGATTTCTAAGGATTTAAACATACATCATAAACATTCTTCTAATCAACTCTTACATCTCTGAGAAGAAATTTGAGGGTAAATATTTTTATTGTTTCTCCTTAAAATATGAGAAATAACAAGGCCACATTTCCATTGCAAGAGCAAAACAAATTAGATAACGTCACTAATTCATCTAAGTAGCATGGACTCTTGCACAGAGCAGACACAAGGTAGTATTTCTTAAGTCCATTCACTAAAAAGTATTAACTCTGCCACTCACAGTATTCAATGTCTTCTTTCATCCTCCAATCTTTAAAGATTTCACTATTTACTGGGTGGAGGCAGATGGGTAAACAAGTAATCATTTATAACAAACCCTCCAATAAAGCTTCTACTATGAATAAATCAATCCATAAGAGAGTGCCTAACTTTACTATTACTTTATATAGAAGAAGTAGAAAGGTGAATTGAACTTTAAATGATAAATGGAAGTTTAAAAGTTTAAAAGGGAAGGGATAAAAGGGTAGTCCTAGCAGAAAATAAAGCATGCAACATGTCTGAAATTGTAAAAATATATGATACGTTTATTTCATTCATTAAAAATAAATACTGACTTACACACTGTGATTCAGAGCCTTGGGTAATTATGTGATTCCTTTCTTAGAGGAAAAGGAGTTTGCAAAACGGACAGAAAATGAGTGGCCAGAGAGGTAGAGGGAAAGTGAGGTGGGGGAGCTGCTGTAGGAAGTGAGGGCTTCCACTGAGAGAAATGCAGATCATTTCATAAAGCTGGAAATAGGTGTGCATATGAAACAGCTATTGAAAAAGGCTGGCAGTGGACAGTTATGGAAAAGAGGGTCTTGAAAGGTATACTAAGGCAATTTAGATTTTAGATTCTAATATCAATGCTTCTTAGCCAGGGTGGGGCCTATAATTATCTCTAAGGCTTTTCAACAATGCCCTCTGATTCAGATTTAATGGTTCCAGAATAGGACATCTGCACTTTAAAAACTGCCCAGAAATGGGTCTGTCCTGAGAAGCCATTACCTGGGTTATGAAAGTGAGAAATAGGGTCACAGCTGCATTTGAGGAAAACCACTTTTCACTCTAGACCATTGACTCAACCCTAGCTGCACAGGAACTCTTGGAGACCTTTCAAACCCATGACACTTAGGATCCACCCCAGACCAAACTACACAAGAAATTCCTCTGTGGAAACTGTCTGTATATTTTTAAGGCTCTCAGGTGATTTTAGTGTTGAGATCCATTAGTATAGGACACAATAGGGCTGAAACCTGGAGCAGAGAAACCAGTAGGGTTGGTTATTGACAGGAAGGTCCATGCTTCCTAATAAACTTAGGCCCCTGAGTATACTGTTCAAGGAGCAGTCACCATGTTTACAAACATGTAAAATAAAGTCTTGCTTAAAGAGTTCTTTCGACTAAGGGGAAGTCCTATAGCCTCCTACAATTTCCTAGATGGCAGCACCTGTTTCCTGTCTCCTGTAAATAAAAGCTATGATCTTCTTCCCAGGCACACCAGCTGGAGAAAGATAAAAAGAATCTGAGATAAAGTCTAAGGATTCTAACAAATAAAAAATGAAACCTGTAGTGAAATAATAGCTTTCTCTTTATTTCAAAGTTAAGAAATCTGGGGACGGAGAATTGATGTGGAAGAACTCACATTTATTTCATGCCTGCAATTTTCCAGGGATGGAACAGTTCTGGAGCACAAGAAAACAAAATGTGTTCGATGAGGGGCACACAGTGCATTTCCTTTCACAGGACTTTCTGCTGATTCTGGGGCCGGTGGCTTTTTAAAGTATCCTGGCTGGCATACATGTGCTCTCTCCCATACCCTCTCTCCAGTCCCCAGCTCTCTTGATGGGAGAGCTAGGATTGCCCCAGCAAAAAGATTGGAGGTGTTCAAGAAAATGTAGGATGCTAAAAGCAGGCTTCCAGCCCTGTCTTTTCCTCCGTAACTCTCAGGCTGCGCCTGTTTCAGGAGGAAATGAACTCAGAGGTGCTAAGAAAGCAGTCATCCTCAAGCTATCACTTTCTCCTCTGCTAGTTTTGGTGTAGGAGAAAAGCTTCAAAGAATCCAAGATGACCTGGAGTAATAAGCAGTAGTAAAATTCAGGAGCACAGGGGACACTGGAGAAAGCAGCAGGATTACATGTCACCCTTGTTATGAGGAGTGTCAGAATGGGCTCCTTAGCAAGTCAACTGTTTTCCTCCAAGGGGTATTGCTCTGGAGGATGAACAGCAGTGTTTGGCCTGCCAGAGGGAACCCTGCACTTCCTGCTGGACTGGGTGGCAGCTATTGTTTCCAATGATGACTGTAATGACATCACCCATCCAACATTCTTTTTTTTAAAAAAAAATTAAACTAAAATATTTATTTTAAAATAACTGTAACTCTACATGCAGTTATAAAACATATTACAGAGAGATCCAGGAGACAATTACTCAGTTTCCCTGAATAACATCTTGCAAAATTTCACTACAATATCACAATCACGATACTCACATTGATTGTCAAGATAGTCAACAGTTCTGGCATCACAAAGATCCCTGTGTTGTCATTTTCTGACCACACCAACTACCCTCACACCACCCCGCTCCTAACCCAGTTCATTTTGTCTATGATTTTATGATTTCAAGAATATTGTATGAATAGAATCATGCAGTATGTAACCTTTTGTATTAGTTTTTTCCTCACTCTGTGTAAATCTCTAGAGAGTCATCCAAAATAGTTGTTTGTATCAAGAATTTGTTCTATTTTATCATTGATTAGAATTCCAAGGTATAGATGTACCGCAGTTTGTTTAACCAGTCACTTGTTGAGTGACTAGAGCTTCTATGAACACTTGTGTTTCAGTTTTGTGGAACACAAATGTTGATTTCTTTGGAATAAATGTTCAAGAATGTAATTGTTGGGTTGTATGGTAGTTGAATATTTAGTTTTATAAGAAACTGCTAAGTGGGTTCCCAGAGTGGCTATCCCATTCTACATTCTCACAAGTAATGTGTAAGTGATCCAGTTTCTCAGCAACCTTGCTAATATTTGGTATTGTCACTGGTTTTTATTTTAGCCACTTTGATAGGTGTATAGTGTATAGTGTGGTTTTAATGTGCAATTCCTTAATGGCTAAGGATGTTGAGTGTATTTCTATGTGCTTGTGTGCCATCTATATATCCTTTTTTGTTTATTATTGTATTATTTTAAAGTTTATGTCATTTTTAATTACAGATAATAACTGTATATATTTATGGGGTACCATGTGATGTTTTATCATTTAATCACTCCACAATGTATTCATATATACATTGTGGAATGATTAATCAAGCTAATCAACATACACATCACTTCACATATTTATCATTATTGTTGTGAGAACTTTTAAAATCCACTCTTTCAGCAATTTAGAAATATACAATACATTAACTATAGTCACTGTGCTGTGCAATAGATCTCTAAAATTTATTCCTCCCATCTAAACAAAACTTTTTCCACAAAGACTAAGACCAGCATCTCCCTATTGTCTCCCCACACTGCCCAGCCCATGGTAACCACTATGCTACTCTCCACTTCTCTGAGTTCTATCTTTCTGAATATTCTACATGTACATGAGATCATGCAGTATTGGTCTGTCTGTGCCTAGTTTATTTCAGTTAGCATAGTGTCCTCCAGGTTCATCCATGTTGGCATAAATAAGATAACTTCTTTCTTTGTAAAAGCTGAATAGTATTCCACGGTATATACACATCACATTTCTTTATCCATTCATCTGTTGATGGACACTTAGTTTGCTGCCATGTCTTAGCTATTATGAATAATGCTGCAATGAAGATAAGAGTACAGATAACTCCTTGACATACTGACTTCAATTCCTTTGGATATATACCCAAATCTGGATATATATCCAGATTTATCCAAAAATATATTGAAAAATAGAATAGAAATTCTATTTTTAGTTTTTAGAGGAAACTCCTATGTCTTTTTCCTATGGCTGTACTAGTTTACCTCCTTAGCAACAGTGTACAAGGGTTCTCTTTTCTCCACATCCTTATCAACACTAATTACCTTCTGTCTTTTTGATAATAGCTATTCTAACAGGTATGAGGTGATATCTCATTGTGGCTTTAATTTGCATTTTCCTGATGATTATTGCCTTTTTCATATATCTATTGGTCACTTCAATGTTTTCTTTTCAGGAATGTGTGTTCAAGTCATTTACTCATTTTTTAATTGAGTTCATTGTTTTCCTACTATTGAGTTGTTTGAGTTCCTTATGTATTTTGGATATTAGCTCCTTGTCAGATGTCTGGGTTGCAAATATTTTCTCCTAATCCATGGGTTGTCTCCTCACTATGTTAATTGTATAGATTGCTGTGCAGAAGCTTTTAAGTTTGATATATGTATGTCCTTTTTTGTGAAATGGAGGTTCCTGTCCTTTGTCCGTTTTTAAATTGGATTTATATTTACTGTTGCGTATTGAGTTATTTATGTATTCTAGATACTAGTCCTTTGTCAGACACATGGTTTGCACATATTCTCTCACAGTAACTTTTTTTTGTCCAAAAATTTTTAATGTTAATGAGGTGCAATTTATCATTTTTCCTTTTTAATCATGTTCTTGGTTTCAAGTCTAAGAGCTATTTCCTTAGTCATAGATTTCCAAATTTTTCTTATAAATTTTTCCTAAAAGTTTTATAGTATTACATGTTTATGTCTCCATTGTGAGTTAATTTTTGTTTAAATTATGTGGTGCACGTGGATGTCCAATGACTTTCATATTATTTGTTGAAAAGGCTATCTTTTGTATATTGGGTTGCTTTTGCAACTTCGCTCCACTCTGGATGAAACAGTCTGGTGGATCAAAAAATAAAGTGTGTGATCAAAGAAGCACACAATAGGGTTCCTCTCATACTACAGCCTGCTTGTGTTCCTGGGACTGGTTAGGTATATTTATGTCATTTTTGAGTACTGTGTTCTGTTCCACTGATCCATGCATCTACATTCTTTTTTTTTTTTTTTTTTTGAGACGGAGTCTTGCTCTGTCGCCCAGGCTGGGGAGCAGTGGCGCAATCTTGGCTCACTGCCAGCTCCGCCTCCCGGGTTCATGCCATCCTCCTCCCTCAGCCACCCGAGTAGCTGGGACTACAGGCGCCCGCCACCACACCCGGCTATTTTTTTTTTTTTTTTTTGTATTTTTAGTAGAGATGGGGTTTCACTGTGTTAGCCAGGATGGTCTCGATTGCCTGACCTCGTGATCTGCCTGCCTCGGCCTCCCAAAGTGCTGGGATTACAGTCGGCGTGAGCCACCGTGCCTGGCCTATGCATCTATCTTCTTATCAATACCATACAGTTTGATGACTGTAGCTATGTAGTTAGCCTTAATATTGAGTACAGTGTTTCCTCTCACCTTATTCTTCTTTTTCAAGTTATTTTTAGTTATTCTGGAGTTTGTATCTTTCCATAAATTTTAAAATGTGCTTGTCTAGGTCAACAGATGAAAGCTTCCTGAATTTTTGATAGAAGTTACATTAAATCCATAGTCAATTTGAGAAGAAGAGGCATCTTTACTATGTTAAGTCTTCCAATATATGAACACAGTGTGTCTTTCCATTTATTGAGGTCTTTGATTTTTTTCACTGGACTTCGTAATTTTCAGCATATTGGTTTTTTACATATTTTGTGAAGTTTATATCGACATATTTCATTTCCTTTGGAGTTACTGTAATTGTTATTGTTTTTAATTTAAGTTTTGACATGGTCATTCTTAGTATGTAGAAATGCAATTATTTTTTGCTGTTGAAATTGTGTCCTGTGACCTTGCTAAACATACTTATTAGTTCTAAGAGGGTTTTTTTTTGTAGATTCCCTGAAATTTTTAAGTAGATTATCATGTCATCTGCAAATAAAGACAGTATTTTTTCTTCCTTTACAATTGGTATGCTTTTTTTTTTTTTTTTTTTGCTCTATTGAAGTGGGCAGAACTTTCAATTCTGTGTTAAATAAGAGTGGTGATATTAGGAAATAGCATTCACCAATTAAGTATGTTGCTGGCTATAGATGTTTTGTAGCTATTCTTTGTTAAAATAATTTTCTGTATTCCTAACTTAGAGTTTTTATCATGAATGGGTTTTGGGTTTTGTCAAACACTTTTTCAGCACTAATGGATATGATCATTTGCAGTTTCTTTTCTAGTCTATTAATAAGGTTGATTACACTGATTGATTTCACATGTTGAACTAGCCTTGTATACCTGAAGTAAATCTTATTTAATCATGGTGTAAAATTCATTTTATACCTTGTTAGGTTTGACTTGTTGATGTTTCATTGAGGATTTTTGTGTGTGTAATTTTATGAGAGATATTAGTCAGTAGTTTTCTTTTATTGCTGTATTTTTCTAGTTTGGGTTATCAAGGTAATACGGGCCTCGTAAAATGAGCTGGGAATTACACCCCAGATTCAGTTTTTTGGTAAGAAAACGTACAAAATGGTTTTAATTGCTGTTTTAAATGTTTGGTAGAATTCTCCAGTGATACCATTGGATCATAAATATTTCCTTTGAGAGCTTTTAAATTACAAATTGTATTTATTTAATGGTTATAGAACCATTCAGATAATCTTCATCCTTCTTGAGTTTTGGTTGTTTGTAGTTTTTGAGGAATTGGTCTATGTCTTCTAGTTGTCACATTTATGAGCATACATGAAGTTGTTTATATTTCCTTATAATTCTTTTATTGCCTGTAAGATCAGTAGCAATATTCGCTGTTTAATTCCTGATATTAGTGATTGCTGTTTTTTCTTTACCTTTGATAGTCTTGTTGAAGTTTTATCAATTACAGTGGTTCTTTCTAATAACTAGATATTTGCTTCATTTATTATCTCAATTGTTTCCCTGTTTTTAATTTCATTGATTTCTCTTGTTATTTTTATTATTTCCTTCCTTCTGTTTGTTTTGGGTTTATTTTGCTTTTCTTTTTCTAGTTTCCTGATGTTAGAACTTAGATTATTGATTTGTGACCTTTCCTCTTTTCTACTATTAGCTATCAATTTGCCTATTAGCACTGCTTTATTTGCATCCCGTATATTTGATATGTTATATTTTTCTTTTCATTCAGGTCTCTGAATATTTTATTTCCTTTGAGATGATAAAGCTTTGCAGGCTGGGTCATTTGTTGTAGGGGGATCCCTTTTGCCAGCCAGACCAGCAACTTGTTTTCTCTAGGTAGCAGAGGGGAGTCTCATTCATAAGAGAACAAAGATGCTCCCTGGACCAGGTGCTTGTTGTGGCCGGATTACCCTTGCTGGAATCTGCCACCTGCCAGGTGTCTCTCTGTGGGGGAAAAAGAGCCTCAGTGTTGGTGTGCTTCTTATTTTTAACAGGGTATGCAATAGGTCCTCTCCCCTGTGCTGCCTGACTCACCTGTGTTGTCATTGAGACTCTAGTTCAATTATCCAGAGGAACGAGCATACCTAGACTGCCTTCTGTTGCTAGTTTAGAGTTGGGAGATGCCAGACATGGTTTCCCTTCTGCTGTTGAGTGGGTGGTCCCAAGACACTCTGCCACTATGTGATTCCTTTAGTTCTGGGGTTTCTAACAAGTTCTCCTTCCTCTATCCACCTTTACAAGTTTGCTTTTGATTTCATCTTGTGCTGTTCCCAGGGGTTAAAGTTGTACTCACAGGGGAAAGGAAAAGAGCCATAAGAAATGAATCTGCTCCATCTCACATGAACAGGAAGTCAAATAGTTTACTTTAAAAGTCTTTATTAATGCTTCTTTTTCATGTCCAGTTAACATATTAGTTAGCAAATGGTCAATTGAGTTGTGGGATCAATAGCAGTCACAAATATTATTATCACAGACCTGTATCATCAGCCAAGTGTTTGTCAATATGTGCTACAATAATTTCCTCACTCATACAATGCCACGTGGAAACAGGCAGAATGCTGTGAGATTTAAGGACTGGAAGAAAACCGGCTGCTACCGGAACTCTTCAGCCAAAGAGAATGACACAATCCTCCCGTCTTAATGGACACTTCCCATAACTGCATGTTGCAGTTTTCAAGTAGTTAAAAGAGAGACATTTCTTTCATGAATAGGGCAGGGATAAATATTTTAGTTTCAAATAAAAAAAATCACCAAAGGGTCATGTTAATTCAACGGCATGTCAGATTACAGAACGTGGTTCTTTTGTTCTGAATACCCCCTAGGTTTATTGGAATACAGAGTGACTTATTCAGACCAACAAAGGATTATAAAAAATTACATACCAGGATATATTTTGGAAAAATATTCTGAGGGATTTTGCTTACCTTTGTGCTGTATCAATTCATCAAAGTGGTAATTCATCTAAAGTGCTAAAATTTTGTATAAAATTCTGTGCTTGGCACACTGGTAACTCCAAGAAAAAGAAAAAAAAATCTTGCTTTCAGGACTAGCTCTACTCAAAGAGATTTTTCAAACACCAATAAAAAAGAGCCTATGATACAGGACAGCACATAATTAAGTTTCCATGATTAGGAAGAAAAATCACTGCAGGAATTCAGAAGACAGAGTGATTACTGTGAATTGGGCTGTTAAGTGAAAGTTTGAGGGATGTTCAGGATAGGTATGATGGGGTGGGTGGGAGGTGGACACTGTGAACACAGTCTGAAAGTTAAAATAGGCAAATGATACATAAAGGGCAGGCCATCAGCCAGTCTAGCTAGACAAGTGGACGTGTTTTAGTTGAGAGTTTAGCTGAGGCCAGGTTCTGCAAGACTTGAATATCAGGCTGAGAAGATCTCTATTTTCTGAGGACACAGGGTACTTTGCAACGTTTTGAACTGATAGTTGGTGCAAGCAAATACTGAGTAGGTGAGCATCAGTTTGCAGAGTCATGGTGAGGACTAGATAAGGATGTGTGTGTGTATCTCTCTGTATGTGTGTGCACGTGTGAATCATTTAATATTATGTTTATTTATATTCTGGGGTTTGGCATCAATGTTCACAGTAAACTGCTTTCTTCAATATTGCTTTAAGTATGATTTCAATTTATCCATGTGCAGTTGAAAGTAAATAATATTAAGCCCAAAACTGTAAAATTAGTGGTTTCACTGTGACCTTGTTATGTGGCCCTGACCGATATCCATCTTTCCAAGGCTCAACTGAATATGTGGGAGGAGAGTGAAGATAATCAAAGATAACTCCAAAGTGTCTACTCCGGTTGATTGGGACAAAATGACAAATGCACTAATTTTAAAACATTTTGTTATTTTTATATTCATAAAAAGAATTGGCATGCTACCTAAAATAATAATATGAGTAACATGCTTTATAAATCAAAGAACATAGATAAAATCCTTTAACATACACGATTATTAAGTATATACTGGCTGTTTGAAAGAAGAAAACAGACAAAGTGATATATTTGTATGAGAAATAAAAGCGGGCGTTATAACTCAACAGTGAGATCATCTCCCTAACTAACACGAAGCTGGCTTTTGATTGAAGAGCTGACTACCCTCATGTGATTCCCATGTACTAATGAGTGCCGACCAGTTGCGCATAAGTTAGGACTCAAGTCTGACCTAACAGAGTTAGGTAAGTGTGTGAGACTCTGGGAGAAGCATATTGAATAAAATGCAGTGTAATTTGATAATTATATTTCTTATTACATTATTGCTTGAGTAATAATTTTCAATCCAATAACATAAAGATTATCATCCTTTGTGTACTCCTATGTTGTGACAGTGACATAAAATAGTAAAGGGGACTTTAATAAATGTTTTTTGAATGGAAACAAATAAATGAGTGAATAATGAACATCTGCACTCTATGTCTTCTTCAGAGAAGCTGACATAGGAAGAGAAGCAAAGCAAAGAAGGCGATCCATGGAAATGGCCATGGAAAGTCAGCTCATTTTCAGTCTGCACTTAGATCAGGCCATCCAAACAATGTTGCTTGTTCTCTGAAATAATCTTTCATTCTTGACATGGAGGACACAAGAGCAAATGTTATGAAAATTCAGTGAGAAACCTCACCTTCTGGAAATTATATATGTATCTCATTTAAACTCACTTGAGCACTATTACACTCATAGGAGACAAAGACCAATATGCATGAGATTTAAATGATGAAGCTCTAGGTAACTGCTTTGCAATGCCCATGAACAATAAAATCGTGAGTGTGCATTTTTAAAAATAAGTAGATAATGAGATGTGAAATCGTTGTAATAATGCTTTTCTAAGTAAAAGCTGCCAACTTGCTGACATCAGAATTGTGCCATCCACAGCTTAAAATAGAGTGGATGCATTTCCTAAAGCCCATCACTTTGCTGTCGCATTCATTTTCCTCTTTAAAATGAAGGGTTTATTTCACCTTTTATAAGTAATTATAGGTTGAGAAGTCCCCGCTCTGTCTCCTACCTACTTTGCCTCTCATGCTCTGGGTTCTGCCACTTCTCCCAGGCAGGCTGATAATGGAGCGGGACAAGGCTTAAAGGATGAAAATCCAGTGAGGGAATGGTATTCTGGCTTGGGAAGGGCCCTGAGCAATTCATCCATTAAGGTGGCACTCTCTTGTAGTTAAGGTGGCACTCTCTTGTAGTTAAGGTAGCATCCTCTTATAGTTAAATTTTGGGCAGATTTTCAGGCTCAGTATTACTCAGTGCTCAAGTTGCATATGGTCTTTGATTTACAAACCTATGACTTTTTTCTTACTGTTAAAGTTGAGGTTTTGGTACAAGCAAAATACATAGAAGAAACTGCAAGGGAAGACTGAGTATAACCCTTCCAGTCATTCCCAAACCAATCACAAGTACCCACTTAATGCTAAAAAGGCATTGATAAGTGTTTGGGCAAACCACTGTTCTGGTCCTACAGTGATTCCTGAGCCTGCACTGCACTTAGTTCTTTGTGGGTTTGTTTACCAGCCGTGGACTAAGCACCACTTCCAGCTAAAAATAAAGTGATTGTTTAAAAAAATTTAGCTCCAGCTTTCAACAATTTAGCTGCCTAGTTAGGGAACAGAGATGGTGTTAAAATAGTAGCTATTGTAACTATTAAGAATAAAGATAGGTGGTGTCAGGTCACAGGGATTGTGAAGGACAAATCCCCATAGAAGGGCAGAGGAAGTGACTCTGTGAGAGAGTCTGAACACTTCATAGGCTTGGCAAAGTTTCTTCTAGTCTTTGCCTGGAAAACATGTTTTCAACAAGGGGAATTGAAAAAGAAGGAGCAGAAAAATGAGTCTAAGGATAGATGGGCCTGGTAATATCATGCTTTGGCTTTGGAGGTGATAATGATAATGATCTGTACCAGATGTGGCTCTTACTTTGCCCATAAACATTTCCTTCACCTCTGAACTAACCTGCAACCTCAGAGCACAGTTTCCACCTCAAGCACCCACTTTTCTCAGCTTCTCTGCCTGAGAGCTTTTTCTTGAGTCATAGGAGCTTGCTGGCCCATTGCTGGAGCATCAAGAAGTGTGTGAGGTTTAATGCCCCCAGGGGAACCCCCAGACAATTAAAAACGGACACCAGTGGATAACCACCCACAGATTCTTTACCTGCTTTCTACACAGAAGGTCCTCAGAAGGGCAAAGGCTAGTGTACTAGACAGAATAATGGCTCCCAACAAAATCCGTGTCCTGTCCAGGATGGTGGCTCATGCCAGTAATCCCAACGCTTTGGGAGGCTGAGGCAGGAATATCACAAGGCCAGGAGTTTGAGACCAGCCTGGGCAACAAAGCGAGGCCTGTCTGTACAAAAGAAAATTATAGTAACAACGAAATCCATGTCCTAATTCCCAGACTCTTTGAACAAATCACGATTCAAGTAAGGATTTTGAGATGCAGAGGTTTTCTTGGATTATGTGGGTGGGCTCTGTAATCACGAGGATCCTCGGAGGGGAAAGAGTGAGGAAGGAAAGTCAGTGTCAGAGGGAGATGTGAAGATGTCACACTGCTGGCTTCGAAGATGGAGGTGAAGCCACGGCATGTAAGCTGAAATAAACAGTACAACCAATTTTTCTCTAGAGAGCTCAGAAAGGAATGCAGCACAGATGACACCTTGATTTCCCAGGCCCTTGTCACCTCACACCTAAGTTATTAAAACAACTTAACTAGTTTCCTGTTGGCAGTCTTTCTCTGTTCCATTCCACTCTGCACTGAGTCAACAGGTTACTCCCTCTGAAGCTCCCCGCAGAAACTCTCAATGGCTCTTGTGACATAGCTATCGCTTAATAGAGTTGACTCTATTAGATACAGGCTCTGGAGTCTGGTGCTTCTTTGTAAGTCCTGGGCTTCTCAAACTTTGATGTGTAAAAGATGCTCTCAGGCTTTCCTTTTTTTTTTTTTTTTAAGGCTGAATAGTATTTCATTGTATAGATACAACACATTTTCAACAACATGGGGGAACCTGGAGGACATTATGCTAAGTGAAATAAACCAGACATGGAAGAACAAATACTACGTGATACTACTTACAAAAGGAATAAAAAAGAGTCAGACTCAAAGAATGAGAGAGTGAAGTGGTGATTGTCATGGCCTGGGGAGACGGGCAAATGGGGAGATATTAGTCAAAGAGTACTAAGTTTTGATTATACAAGATTATACAGTAAGTCCTAGAGATCTACTGCACATCACTGTACCTATGTTAACTATACTGTGTTATATGCTTAAAAGTTTGCTAGGAGGGGCCAGGCGCAGTGGCTCACGCCTGTAATCCCAGCACTTTGGGAGGCCGAGGTGGGTGCATCACGAGGTCAGGAGATCGAGACCACGGTGAAACCCTGTCTCTACTAAAAATACAAAAAAAAATTAGTCGGGCGCGGTGGCGGGCGCCTGTAGTCCCAGCTACTCGGGAGGCTGAGGCAGGAGAATGGCGTGAACCTGGGAGGCGGAGCTTGCAGTGAGCCGAGATCGCGCCACTGCACTCCAACCTGGGCGACAGAGCGAGACTTAGCCTCAAAAAAAAAAAAAAAAAAGTTTGCTAAGAGGGTAGATGTTATGTTATGTGTTATCACAGAAGCAATAATAATAATAATGTAATAATGAATAAGATGGCAGGAGGAAATTTTTTGCAGGTGTTGTATGGGTTTACGGCACAGATTGGGATGATGGCTTCATGTGTGCATACTTATCTCCATACTTATCCAGTTGTACATGTTAAATATCAGCTTTTTGTATGTCAGTTTTCCCTCAGTAAAGTGCTTTAAAAATGCTTGTAGGCCCTGGACAGCATGTTCAAAAAGCATATTTTAAATCCCTACCCCTATGGTATACTGACCCAATTAATGAACTCCCTGAATCCATGCCTAGATCCGTGCCTTGCATTGTGACTTCGTAGTTACTCGTATTAAAAGGTGGAGTCGATTTCTCATATTTTGAATAGTTAACTGTTACAACCAACCCCCAAAGACTCAGATTCCACAGGTAGATATGGGGAAATGCACCCGAAAACTCATTTTTTAACAGACGATTCTGTTTTGAGGCTTGTCCAAAGACCTAACTTGGGAAGCATTGGGATACAGCAGCTCAGCTGGAGAGAAATTAGCATGAGGTGAAAGATGCAGTCTGTGACGGCAGCATAGGCCTGACAAGAGCTTGGAGAGCAATGACAGGTAAGAGATCACTATAGTGACCCATAACTGAGTCAAACCTCACACAGGAGAATATGCAGACATGCTTGCAGCAGGTGCCTGGAGGAGCATTGAACTACTGATCCAGCAGTGTGTCCATGAGAAGCTCCTCTGGTTTATAAATATGACCTTATAGAGTCATGGCTATTAATTTACATCCAGAAAAGTACCTATACTTGATTATTTTTATCACAGCCCTTAAGCAAAGGCACACCTGGAAACCCAGTACACAAAGCAGATGCAAATGATGGAAGTAGATGGCTGTGCACCCCGAGTGCTCTGTCTCCCTTTCCCAGTGCTGCCTTCCCTTGAGGCCATGGAGGGGTCTCTGTGGACCAGAGTAAGAAAATCACTGACCTGCAGGATGAAATTTACATTCCTTGGTCTGATATGCAAGGCTCCCACAATCTGGTTTTATTGTTCAGGTTATATATTGCTGCATAAAAACCACCCCAAACTTAGTGGCATAAAACAACAACCCTTTTATGCCCATAGGTCTGTAGGTCAGGAATTCAGATTTGGCACAGCAGAAATGCCACATCTCTGCCCTTTTGGATGTCTGCAGCCTCAGCGGGGAAGGCTCAAATGGTTGTGGCTGGAATCTTCTGGGGGCTTGTTCACTTACATATCTGGTACCTGGGTGGGATGAATCAAAGGCGGGGCTCATCTGGAAGTGCTGACTAAAGCTTTTCCATGCTTCTCCATTTGGCTTGGGTTTCTTTCAGCAAGATGGCTGGGTTCCAATATGGAATGTCATGATAAGGGTCATGTGGACAGTGAGTGTTCCAAGAAATCCAAACAGAACCTGCATGAACTTTGATAAACTAGCCTCAGGAATCTCATGACTTCACCTCTACTGTACTTCCTTGGTCACGGTAGTCACAAGGTTCCATTCCAGTTCCATAGGAGGAAATAAATATGGACACCTCTGTTTGGTGGTAAGAATGTCTTTATTGTCTTGTGGGATGGAGATATTGATGCTGAGATCTTTAGGAAACATAATCTGCCACAGCCCACTCTCTGGCCACAATTATTTTATTTTATTTTATTATTATACTTTAAGTTTTAGGGTACATGTGCACAAAGTGCAGGTTAGTTACATATGTATGCATGTGCCATGATGGTGCGCTGCACCCATTAACTCGTCATTTAGCATTAGGTGTATCTCCTAATGCTATCCCTCCCCCCTACCCCCACCGACAACAGTCCCCGGTGTGTGATGTTCCCCTTCCTCTGGCCATGTGTTCTCATTGTTCAATTCCCACCTATGAGTGAGAACATGCGGTGTTTGGTTTTCTGTCCTTGCGATAGTTTGCTGAGAATGATGGTTTCCAGCTTCATCCATGTCCCTACAAAGGACATGAACTCATCATTTTTTATGGCTGCATAGTATTCCATGGTGTATATGTGCCACATTTTCTTAATCCAGTCTATCATTGTTGGACATTAGGCCACAACAATTCTTAACCATGCAAAATGCAAAAACCCTTTGCAAACACCACAGTGTCTTATCACATTATAATTCCAGCTTAAGGGCCAAGATCTCATGTAGATCAGGTCTAGAAAAAGATGAAGCTCCTTAGGCCAAGGGCTTTGAGTACAGTTCCGAGGGACAAGCTATTGGTCCTCAACTCCCTACAAACAATAGTGGGAACTAGACAACGATAGTAGGCATCACAGAAGAACACAGGAAATGAAAATTGCTGTTGTGGCACATCTCTGGGAAATACATCTTGCCATACTTATCTTTTCAGCTTTTCATCTATTCATTTCTAATGTGGATCTTGCATCATATGTTAAGGGCATCACGCTTCTACAGGTTTCTCTGCTTCTGTTCACAAAGTTCTTCCCCGCTAGAAATATCTTCACAGCTCTTTCCTGCCAATCAAGACCTATCTCCCGGCCAGGCATGGTGGCTCACGCCTGTAATCTCAGGCACTTTGGGAAGCTGAGGTGGGTGGATGACCTGAGGTCAGGAGTTCGAGACCAGTCTGGGCAATATGGCAAAACCCCATCTCTACTAAAAATACAACAACAACAAAAAAATTTGCCGGGCGTGGTGGCGGGTGCCTGTAATCTCAGCTACTTGGGAGGCTGAGACAGGAGAATTGCTTGAAACGGGGAGGCAGAGGTTGCAATGAGCTGAAATCATGCCACTGCACTCCAGCCTGGGCAACAAGACCAAAACTCCGTCTCAAAAAACAAACAAACAAAACTATCTCCCTCTGGGTTTCCCAATACCTCCTATTCCTTGACGTTTCCTGTGACAGTCCAACCTACAGTGATATGTTCATATTCTCAATCCCCGAGTACCCACTATTGCCATGCCTAGTGTTTGGTGCTGAGGATAAAAGAATGAGCAAACACAGGATGAGCTTTAACCTCAAGAAGCTCAGAGACTAGTGGGGAAGATAAATATCAATTAAACAATTACACAAACAAATACAGTAGTTCAACAGTAACTTGCAAGAGAGGTGCACGATGCCATGAGAATCTATACAAGAGAATTTAACCAGTAGAGAGTGTACGAAAGGCCTTCACAAAGACATGATAATGGGCTAAACAATGAGTCATATTTAAAGAGGAGTTTCAGGCAGTGGAACAACAGGAGCAAAAACCTTGCAGCAGGAATGAGCATGAAAAGAAGAAAAAGGGTAGAGGGCAAGTTGTGAGATGGGGCTTGAGAGGTGGGCATGGGGGGCTGTCCATCCATGAACAGTGGCAGCCCTTGAAGCATTTAAACTGAGGTGAAGTGGGGTGAGGGTGGTCGGCATGATCAGATTTGCCATCTAAAAAGATTTTGTTAGTAGGGGTGTATGGAGAATGGAACAGGGTGGGGCCTGATGTGGGTAGCCAAATTTGGAGACCTTTGATTAACTTAGGCTGGTTAGTTGGTTATTGGTGCATTGGCAGTATTGAACGAATTTGGACACCTCAACACCCATGAAACACTTAAATCCACACCATTTTGTAACATCTCATATTTTCATGTATTTGATTCATGATTAAATTCACTGATTAATCTGGACACACAGGTATATTAGCTTTTTCACTCAAACTACATGGTATGGTATAATAAAATCCTTGTGGTTGGACTTTTTAAAATATATGTTTAAGTGATCAGCATATGGATATGTAGTTACTACAGCTTGAATATCCTTTGTCTGAAATGCTTGGAACCAGAAGTATTTCCGATTTTATATTTTTTCAGATTTTGAAATAGTTACATACTCATAATGAGATATCTTGGGGACAGTACCCAAATCTAAACACAAAATTCATCTATGTTTCATATACACCTTATGTGTGTAGGCTGAAGCTAATTTTATACAATATTTTGAATAATTTTGTGCACCCATCACATGAGACCAGGAGTGGAATTTTCCACTTGTGCTGTGATTTTGCTGCTCAAAGAGTTTCAGATTTGGAGCATTTCAGATTTTGGATTTTCAGAATAGGGCTGCTCAATCTATATTAAATAAATATTTGAATGAGATAATAAATTAAAGAACAAATAAATTAATTTGAAGGCATTATTTTTTATAAGGACTGTTTTAAGTTCTCTTTCAACAGTACTCATTGAAATTGTCAAATAATAATCTGTTGCACAAAGTAAAATTTGGGGCCACTCTCAAAAGTGCCAGCAATTTTTCAGAACCAATATGAGAAGTGTTCAAAAATTATCCCTTGCAGTCAGGCCTTGGCCTCCTGTAGATCTCCATGGAACCTGGCTATGGTTTAGGTCTTGAAGCAATCAATTCTGGTCAACCACCAGGTTTGAGCCCAATCCCACAATCATGCCATGGGAGGAGCTTAAATGCCACACAGTCCAAAGTCTGTCCTTGACAGATGTCTGGTGGCTGCACTAAGATGGATGGCTCTGGTGACCTGTCCAGCTGCTACTGATCCTACTCTGAGACTTTAGCCCAGAGCACACTACCCTAGGAGTTCTCAAATGGCACCATCCAGCCACCTATTCAGATTGTGTGGTAGTTAGTGCTGTGAGCCAGCTTATCATGGTCATTTGAAAGAAAATCAAGGGGCTAAAGATCAAAGACGTATCTTGGAGGGGGTGGGCAATTGTGAGACAGAGTTGTGGGCACAGGTAGACTCATACTGCCCTTAAGAAGAAACCTTATGAAATCCTGAACACCAAGCAGAATGTTTTAGTAGATGTTAAAGATCTTGAAGGTAGTCATTATAGAGAGATAAGACTCCAGTCAAGGGAAGGCTAAGACAGTATGCCTAGTAACATTAAGCAAAAAACAAACAAACAAAAAAAACAAAACAAAAAAACAAAAAACAGGAGATATATGAGTGGCCCCCTTTGTGATATGGTGGATACAATGAGATCAGTTAGTGTATAGATTGAGGGGATGTTAGGGAGAATGCAACAATCAGGATGGCAGAGAAGAAAGGAACCCCAGAATGACCCTCTGTCCCTGTGATTTTCAGATAATACAACATCATCCAAAGGGATGGCACCCGGTGGTTGTTAGCTGACAACCTTCTGGAAACACTAGAATCCTTAAGGCAGACCTCACAATCAAGGCAGAGTTATTAAATATCCAAATACAGATGTTGCTATTGTCTTAGTCTGTTTTCTGTTGCCATAAATGAATACCATATATGGGGCAATTTATAAAGAGTAGAGATTTATTTAGTTCATTTCTGGAGTCTGGGAAGTCCAGGAGCATGGCACCAACATCTGGCAAGGTGCTTTGTACTGTGTCATAGATGGCAGAAGGCTTTCTCAGGGTGAGAAGGCAGGAGCGTGTCAGCTCAGGCTTCTCTTCCTCTTCTTATTAAGCCACCAGTCCCATCATGGAAGCCCCACCCTGATGACATTATGTAATCCTAGTTCCTTCCCAAAGACCCCACTTCCAAATACCATCAACATAAAAATTTGAAGATTAAGTTTCCAACACATTAAATTTTGGGTGGGAGAAACACATTCAAATAATAGCACTGATCATAGTCAAGAATTAAGATATTAATACATAACTCAGTCAGACAATGAACTCTTCCCTGCTAAGTCAGTATAGCCCTGGACTGTCCCATGTGCGATGCAATGGCCCTTATGGCTCACATAATGAGAGATAAATGTAACTCTGGAACAGTCAAACCAAGGACAACTCAGTGTTTCTCCCAAACTGGTGTACTAGATGGATCACTTATCTAAAATTATACAAGTCCTGAATATACCTATGGCTGCAGGGTGCGTTTTCTCCCTCTTCTCATGTCTCTTGGTATTCCAGATTCAGGAGTAGGGGATAATCTGGATCCACACGGTTGCAGAGTTTTTTCCCCACATCCTGACTTCCTCAAGCAGCTGGAATATCTTGACTGTCCTTTGAAAAAGGCTGAGCAGACACCAACCTGTAGACACGACTATCTCCTGGCTGAATGCTGAGTGAATTGTGTGTGGTTTTTCTTTTCTTCAGGATGAAACAGGTTCTTAAGTTACTGGAAAAGATTTGGAAACAATGCTTCCAAAAAGGCTAAAGATATTTGCCATATGACACTATGCACTAGATAATGTGTGTATCCCAGTTTTGTTCTTACAAATAATCATTTTCTATGTGCTAGTTGCAGTCACCCAGCCATGTCTAATCATATTTTAATGTGTTCTGTGACTGTGTCTGTAGGTAGTCTCATAATCTTTTAAGTCCAAATGGTACGAGTTGCAGACAATGTGGACATCCTTTGGGTTTGTGTTATAGACAGAGATGTAAAAGTTATCTTATCCAAGACTGATCTCAGAAAACAGTTGGCTTCTTGCAAATCTCTATGCAAACTGGCTGCATTCCAATGCTTACGGCAATCAGTTCTTTTGTTCACTGCAATGTTTGGACCTCAGTATTTCCCTCTTGGGAAATACTACCAGCCATGGCCAGAGGAGGTAATGCTACTGCTAACCACAGCTGCTGAGCTGGCAGGATGAAGCAGAATCCTAGGTTTTGTGACGTCATATTGCTTGTGTTCCCAGTCCCAGATCCTATCAGGAGAGAGAGATCCTATCAGGAGAGAGAGACTGCTTTTTCCTAATCATGCATCATAAAAGTTGTACAGCACGAGGGTCAAGAAATTTCCTCAGTGATGACATCAGCCCTGCTAGATCTCAGGAGCTGTGCTTGCATGAAAGGGAAATGAGGAACTCAGGTCTGCTATCAATAATATCTATGTGAGTTTTCCTCAATGTTTGCTGCTCTAGTAGGCCTGATTGCATGTTGTTGCAATATGAAAGACACCACAGGCTGAAGATGCATTTAGTTTCCAAACCATTAGCAGTGTAGACATGTTTTCGAAGGCAAATGGCTGTTAACAAGGAAATCAAGCCCAGACCCTGAAACCTGGTGAACCTTCTCATATCGGGCCATCAGAAGCCCAATGGTGCTGTTAAAACCCTGAGATCATGAAGGAAACCTTGCTGAGGATATTTGCAGCCATTGAATATGTAGTCCTTTTGATCTAATCTAATTGTTGGCCTATGGTTTTGCTTGACCAGTATAAAGGACTCTTTGAAGTAGCCTAATTGTTTTTATACTGTTTTTAATGTTGCATAAAGGGCACATGAAACAGCAAAAATGATTTCGATATTTGCCCCTTGTGAGGGGCTCGTCAACACATATTTATTGGGCATGAACCAACTAGTGCGTTTTGTAAACTAGCTAAATATTATCAAAGGCTACAGCATGACGCTTGAACTCTATACCCCACTATGGGCCCCAACTTTCTGACTTCTCAGAATAAGAAACAATCATGATCCTTACTAAGTACTCATTTCTGCTGTCTTGACATCTTGTGGTACTGAATCCTTCTTGAGTCCTGGAGATATTTTTAGTTGTGCAGGCTGGAAGGGCAATGGCTTACTTAGTAACCTCTGGGGGCCATGGGCTAGAAAACTTGTCCATCCACGAAGCTGTTTTATTTATAATGATGAAGAGGTGTGCTAGGAGCAAATAATACAACCACAAAAGCATTAAATTTGTCTCAGGCTTCATGGGGGCTTACAAGTTGATTGAAGAAGCAAGACTTGTATGCAAAAAGAATTAAGGAATGATATAAAAATTTCCAATCAAGTGTTAGATCAAGAATGAGTGAATCATAGCAACCAAAGGTGTTTTTGTCTGCGTTGAAAAGAAGGAATGATTCAATGTCCCTTAGATGTGAAGGGGTGCACTAGGCAGTGTGACATTGAAGCCTGTAATCAAACTATTACAGATTTCCATGTATACTATTAAACAGATATTGACTTTCATGAGGTTATATCAAGATTTATTGGCCTAAGAGGTAAATATTGACTGATAAGATGTTGAGGTCAATAATTACCTCCAGGGACAATAAATCTTTATATTCGCAGACACACAAATTCAATAGTCAGTGTGGTTTGTTAGATTAAACACAAATTCCAAGTCATTAGATATATCTGGAAATCCCTTTTCATAACCATGAATTCTGACAGTTTATAATTCATCTTAAAACAGCATATTTTAAATCAGATCTGATACAATGGTAGAAGAAAAAAGTACTTTTATGTTTAATGATAGCCTTCTGGAAAAAATCATTTTATACATTACTTCATGTTGGCTAATTTTATTCTAGCAACTAGTCCAGTAATTGCCACATGGTAGGTACTCTATATACATTTTTAATGAAATTAATCTCACACAATTGGACATTTAAATTTGTAATCAACGAAAAAAGCAGATTAAAAAGTATGTTATATAACAATCATCCATGTTTTAAATTTACTCACTTCTTTGTTACAAAAATATTTGTTCAGAACTGATTCTAGTGCAAAGAGCATGTGAGAAAAAAAGATTATTCCACTGATGATCTTAGAAGAATTTGGATGGTTTATATTAGTTCTTTCCCTAAAATTTATTCAGAATTTTATTTCAATCAGAAATTTAATTTTCAGTACTTTTAAGTTTAATGTAATTTAGAATGTGAGTTTATAAAACGTGAAAATACACTAAACACTGTAGTTTAAAGAGTTAATTTTTTATTTAGTCAATCAATTACTTTGAGAGGATGTGTCTAAATACTCCTTATATTAAGGTCTAGACAGTATGGCCTTATATCAGGGACATGGCAAACACAACTGGCAGTTTAGGGCCAGAGTTGGGACTGCAGGTGACATAAAGTGTTGGTGTACAAATGAGTTATCTTGGATTGCCATGAAAGTGTGGCGCAGAAACTCTTTTCTTTTTTTTTTTTTTGAGACGGAGCCTTCCTCTGTCACCCAGGCTGGAGTGCAGTGGCGCGATCTCGGCTTACTGCAACCTCCGCCTCCTGGGCTCAAGCGATTCTCCTGCCTCAGCCTCTCCAGTAGCTGGGATTACAGGCACATGCCATAATGCCTGGCTAATTTTTTTTTTTTATATTTTTAGTAGAGACGGCCATGTTGGCCAGGCTGATCTTGAACTCCTGACCTCGTGATCCACCCGCCTTGGCCTCCCAAAGTGCTGGGATTACAGGCGTGAGCCACCGCGTCCGGCCCCAGAAACTCTTTTCTTAGAAGCTTCATATAGGTTGTCCTCTGCCCGCACCCTCCTTTTCCCACACTGCTGACCACTTACATTAGCCATCTCCTGCCCCATACAACTACTCCGCAGTCCTCTGTTCTCAACTCTCAAACATTCTTCTGTGGCAAAAGCAGAAAATTGGTCCTGAGAATGGTCATAGGCAGCCGTGCTACACTGAGCGTGGGGTGCTATGTGGGAGAGTTAAACTACGACTCACAAAAGTACAAAGAATGATCAAACTCTACCCATAGGCCAACCTTTCTGGATTAATCACTGTTAACAATGTATCAGAGTTCTGCTGTCCATTTGTACAAAAAGAAAGGATTATGTACTTCAGTCATTATTATATTTCTCATAAGGGCCACAGCTATTATGAGTTTGGTGGTATTTCTTTTGGCAAATTTTATATACTTTAAAGCAGATAAATAGATAGATAGATAGATAGATAGATAGATAAATAGGGTATTTATAAATTGTTTAAATGTCTTATTTGTATTATATGAATTGTTCTGCATCTCTTTCCATATAATGTGTTTTCAGTATCTAGTGAATAAACTTGTATATAATTAGCACTTAGGCTGAGTCCTGTAAGAGACTTGTGAATAAATTTGAAAAAAAAAAGACCTTTTTTTTTTTCTTTTAATTGAGACAGAGTCCCTCTCTGTCACCCAAGCTGGAGTGCAGTGGCATGATCTTGGCTCACTGCAAGCTCCCTCTCCCATGTTCACACCATTCTCCTGCCTCAGCCTCCCGAGTAGCTGGTACTACAGGCGTGTGCCACCATGCCCGGCTAATTTTTTTGTATTTTTAGTAGAGACGGGGTTTCACTATGTTAGCCAGGATGATCTCCATCTCCTGACCTCGTGATCCACCCTCCTCGGCCTCCGAAACTGCTGGGATTACAGGTGTGAGCCACCACCGCGCCCGGCCCAAAAAAATGACATTCTAATCCTTTCACTAATTCAACAAGTATTGTTCTAGATCAGTATTTCTTAAATTGAGATACATAGGCACTATGGAAATAGAGATGGGCCTGAGGGAGATATGCCTGTGAGCTTAGTGTGTGTGTGTGTGTGTATTAATGTGTATTACATGTAAGTATACTATTTCTGGAAAGATGTCCCATAGCTTTCATCAAATTCTCAAAGGAGTCCATAAATTCTAACTTTTGGAAGTATCTTTTAAAAGCCCTGCTTTAATTTCAGTGTCATAACTGAGGTAAAATTTTTGTGGTATTAAAATTATGAAACATAGGAGTCTATAATGAAATCGCCTATGTTGAAAAAATATAGATGAGTTTTTAAAATCATAACTATAGCTTCATTTTTATGTATCTAGACACATGTGATCATTTAATCCACAAAATATAATAATTCAATCATAATTACATCTTTGAATGTTAGAAACGGGGCACGCCTTAATAGGAAGCTTGCACAGGAGATTCAAGGACCAAGAGGTGGTTGGTTTAGTGACCTTTTAATTATTTCTACAAATCCAGTCCAGTTCCCTCACTTTACAGATGAGGAAAGCTGAGACAAAGAGACCTGATGGAATTTATGTATGATCACTTGTTTTAGACTCAAGGTCATTAACGTATAGTGAAGAATTTCGAAGGTTAGTTTTGATAGAGAGAAAAAAACAGATATGGTCTCTCTTTTAAATACTTATAAGACATTTGGATATGAGCTAAAAGCAAAAATTAAATATTTTCTTGTTATTCCCTATAACTAGCTGGTTGAGGAAAATCTGAAGCTGTGATGTTTGGAAGCATGATGTAAAATAAATGTATACAAATGTTGGGCACTTGTTTGGTTGAATTTTCTGGCTATACATGCAAATGCAAACATCTAACAAGTATGCTTTCAGAATGTATGCACTGGGAATCGTGGAGGAGAACACAGATGGAGCTGTCCTCATGGAGCCATTATACACTGCTAGTCCTAAAGCAGTGGGGTGTCAGATAGACATATTTTTGTTTCTTAATTGCTGAAAATGATCTTTGCCAAAGAACTTCTTTCCCGCCCCCACCTTTCCATACTATATTCTTTGAAAAGGAGGCACCCTGTCACAGCCTGCACTTAAAGGGTCGAGGATTACACCCTCTTGAGAGTGGAGGATCTACATACATTTTTGGGGGTTCTTCTACAAGGGAGATTTTTCTTTCCGTCTTTATTTATTTACTTATTCAATCATTTATTCCATCAAATTAATCATTCAGGTACTTCTGGGAAAAGAATTTCAGAGGTAGAAAGGGCAGAAAGTAATCTTGTTCTATTTTATCATTTTACAGGTGAAAATTGAGATGAAAAGAAGTTGAGAATTTAATCAGAATTGTAGGGTTCATTGTGGCAGAAGACCCTCTATGGCTTCTCCTTTCTACAGAGTGTGGTGTTTCTGTGTCAGCCCAGTGCGAGGTTGTGGCTACATGGTGTCATGTATGTGGGTGGAGGAGGAGCTGTCCATGCAGTTCAAATGTGTTTGTGAGGATAAGATTTTTAGCCAATGCCTCCAAATTCTCACTGTAGAACTCAAAGTTGTGATTATTTGTAGAGCAACCAGAGTGATAGCATTTGTGACTAGGAACGGAGGGACTATAATTTCCAAAACTGTGAATGAACTGCCTCACTATAGCAAGGGCTGCCAGCTTCATTACGGCACCATTTGCAGGAATCAACCTCCCTCTCACATTTCTCTGTTGCACTTGCCTGTATCTATTGTGGCAACTCATTTTTTTAACTGAATTTTTTAGGCCAGTTTTAGATTCTCATAAAAAGAGATATGTGAGGATAGCACAGAGAGTTCTCATATGCCCTACACTCAGATTCCCCTCTTATTAACATCTTAGATTAGGATGGTACATTTGTTATATTTGATGAGCACATCTGGATGCATCAGTATCAAGCACAGTCCATACTTGATTTTTATTTTCTGAGTTCTTACCTAATGTCTGTTGTTTGGTCCCAGAATCCCACCTAGGATTCCACATTACATCAAGTCATTGTGTCTTTCTAGGCTTCCCTCAGCTATGACAGGTTCTGAGACTTTCCTTGTTTTTGATGACTTTGGCAGTTTTAAGAGCACTGTACCTTGCAGACTGTCCCTCAGTTGGGATTGTCTAATGTTTTCTTACGATTCAGTTGGAGTTATGGGTTTCTGGGAGGAGGACCACAGATGTAATGTGACATTTTCATCATATCCTATCAACTATCAACACCACTAATCACTGTTGATGCACACCTTGATCACCTGGCAGAAGTAGTCTTTGTAAAGTTACTCTCCACTCCTGCTCCCAACTGCACCTTTCCATACTGTATTCTTTGCAAGGGAGTCACCCTGTCACAGCTCACACTTAATGGGTAGAGAGTTATGCTCCAAGTTCTTGAAAGTGGAGGATCTACATACATTATTTGCGATTCTTCTACGGGGAGATTTGTCTTTTCCCCCTTATTTATTTACTTATTTGATCATTTATTTAAATCATCCTGGACTCATGGGTGCATATTTATACTCTGGGGTTTAATCAATATTCCTTTATTTTGTTGCTCAGGTTGTTCCAGCTTCGGTCATTGAAAGTTTTTTTCAGTTGGCTCCTGTGTTCCATAGCCCATCATTTTGTTTGTTTGTTTGTTTTGAGTACTTCCTTCCTTTCTGGCACTACAAGTTGTTTCAGGCCCATGTTGTATGTTTCCTGAGAATACTGACTTTATTTCTGAGAATACTGACTCACTTTTCATACTTACTTTACATTTAAGTTATAGCATGATATTGTGTATGTGGTTAAACCCCCAGGCTGGATGGATTCCACTCACCCCTCTGGGTTCACTGTCCACTCTTTCTCACCTGCTCTGTGTCCAGGAGACTGGTCTGTGTGGGCTGATGGGGAGGCCCTGACCATCAGGTGCTCCCACAGAGAGGGGAGGGAGCACCAAGAGTCAGCCCGGGCTATTTATTCCTCCACTCTTTCCCCTGGGCTTACTGGATCCTTGCTGAAGACCTAAGCTCACACCAGGCAGTGTCTCCACATGGCTTCTCGGGCTCCAGAAGCTCCTCCCACCTCTCCATACCTTCCCCTACACCCCACTTCATGTTAGCCTGTTTGGGTCTGGGGGTAAGAAACTCTCCTGTTGCTAGCCCAGGGCACTGCCCTGGCTCCTGTAGTTTCCTTTGACCTCACCCTTACTTGGGTAAGCAGTCTCTTTATTAAACTCCCAAATTATCCTAATTTGACTGCATCTTTTATTTCCTGCTGGAATATTTTCTAGTATCTTTTTGGAATATGATCAGAATATGTTCCAGGAATGTCAGAAGAAATGAAGGAAGAAAACAGTGGAAGAGGCTGGGCATGGTGGCTCACACCTGTAGTCCCAGCACTTTGGGAGGCTGAGGTCGGCAGATCACCAGGTCAAGAGATGGAGACCATCCTGGCCAACATGGTGAAACCCTGTGTCTACTAAAAATGCAGAAATTAGCTGGGCACGGTGGTGCACGCCTGTGGTCCCAGCTGCTCGGGAGGCTGAGGCAGGAGATTCGCTTGGGCCCCGGGGGGCAGAGGTTGCAGTGAGCTGAGATTGCACCACTGCACTCCAGCCTAGCGACAGAGGGAGAATCCGTCTCAAACAAAAAAAAAAACAAACAAACAAAAAGAGTGGAAGAAAGAGTGAGAGAGATTCAGAGTGAAGAGGAGATGGAGGAGAGAGAGGGAGAAAGAGGAGAGGGAAGAGAATGGAGAGAGAGGAAAAAAGAGGGAGAGGAGGGAGAGGGAGAGAAGGAAGGAAAGAGGAGAAAGGAGAGAGGAGAGAGAGAGAAAGGGAGGGAGAGAGGGATATATAAAGGAAGAAAGGAAGGGAGGGAGGAAGGGAGGGAGAGAGAGCAGAGATTTTTAAAGAATAATCAGAACATATGAGTATGTCCCATAATAAAGTGAAGGAAGACACTTAGGATCAATGGCAGAGGACAGGTTTCTAACTTACAGCCAATTAATTCCTCATATACTAAATAACAATTTTAGGTCCATATGGGACTAGGCAATTTTTTAGGATTTAACTTTAGAGCTAATAATTATAATATGTGGAGCTATTATTAATAACTCCCATGGTATCCTGACAATGTGTTAGACACCAAATTTTCAAGTAGATTAAGAGCAAACATTCCTTATTAGTACAAAACAACTGTGCAAATTCCATATTTATGCATTTGTGGGATTTTATACTTTCATTTGCATTACCTTGGATTTCTTCTTAAGGAAGAGAAAGAAATCTTATTATAGACACTCGTTTAGCTTTTGCAGTAAATATGATGAAAGTGTGCTCTTGGTTAAAACAATCTTGAATCTCCACATTGTTTAGCATGCCTGCATTGCATTATAAGATATCAATAAATACTGAAATGGAAACACAGTTAACTGTATATAGCCATCTGTTAATGTATCTTTTATTCCATGCTAACTATGTAGGTAGGCACTTAATATATATTACTTAATTTAATTCTTGATCCGTTATGTTGGGATTTTGAGTTTTAAAGATGAGTTAAACTCAGAGAGACTAAGTTGCCAGCAATCACACAGGCAAAGACTACAGAAACAGAAGTCACACCACTGGGGCTGGAATATGGGTCTTCCTAACTGTAAACCTTGTACTCTTTCAATTACACCATTAATTAATATGAACATTTATGCTTTGGAGGCAATTAATTCAGAAGTATGCAGTACAATGAAATATGAGCATTCATTTCTGTGAAGGTTTCATTTTATGGTGTGCGCTAAATTTTTAGTTAGGATTGAAAACACTATGTTTTAAATAAACTAAAACTTTAAAACATCTCAAGCAGAATAGTCTATGACTAATACATACTATAGAATAAGACAGAACTTGCTCAAAAACTACGTGTATAGGGTTTTGATTACCTTTTGGTGTCAAGGTATTTAATTATGTTTTTATTTCAAAGAAACAAATAGTCAAGACTGGATTTGTGAAAATAAGAAAAAAAAGCAGTGTCTTTTTCTTCTTCCAAGATTTGGAACTGTGGTGGTTTACTTAACCTGATCAAACTTTTGCCTGGTGAAAGAGAATGGAAACACGTTGTTTTAATTCAAGGAAAGTAACTAATTTGCATACATTTAGTATGAGAAGCTTACACAGGTCTACTAAAATCAGTGTTAACAGAGACTCTTAGACAACTTCTACTCCAATTTAGATAACAATTTATTAACCTATCTAAAATGTGGTTCTTTTATTCATTCAACAAGTAATTTTTGAATATTATATTTCAATCGATATTTTCATATGTTAGGTGTTCTGCCGGGCTCTGTAGTGACAGAGGTGAACATGTTATATGTAAACGCAACCTTTACTTAGTCACTACTGAATAGTATTGTGTCTAAACATACTTCTCAACTATGTTAACAATTTCTAAATGTCGGGGACAGGTGTTTTAAAATCCGTGGACATGTTTTCAACAGATGTTATGAATGACCCAATCCGGGACATTCAGGCTGAGAAGGTGCTTTGAAATCTTAGCTCTTCCAGTGCGACACCCTCCGTGCCCTTTCAGGAGCCTGATAGTTGGGGGAGGTGGTGACTTTCTCAAGGCCACAGAAGAAAAGCAAGAATAGAAATCTTGTCCCCTGACTCTGAAGTCTGTTCTCAAATAGGACACTGGCTTGCCTGGGGTACTAAAGAGTCACTCATGAATTCATTCATTGGTTAACTCAATTAACAAATATTTATTGATCATTTTCTTTGGGCAGGCCAAGGCCCAAAGTACCCCAGTAGGAGATGGAGGTACAATGAGAGCAGAGCAAACATGCCCCTTACAGGGTGTCACTTCAGTCTAACAAAGCACTAGGTCTATGGTAAGATACTAATAAGAAGCTATGAATATTAAGTAACTCTAATGTAATTTGTTAAATAGATTGACCAACCAGTATAGGAGAAACTGTAGTAAACTGATTATTGGGGAATAGAATAGCAAGCCATGAGAGAATGTCGAGGGTTTTCCAATATCGTTTTGGGAAAAGGTGGGCTGAGTTAGGATCCACTGTGGTTGCAAAGCTGAGCTGTAAACGGGAAGATCTGCAGGAAAGAGCTGGCCAGGTGGATGACGGAAGCAGGTGGGCAAGCGTGCTCCATGCACAGGGCCCAGTGTGTGATGTCACCAAGGAACTGAGAGCAGGGAATTCATAAACGTGTGAAGAAGTAGATAATGGTAGTGTTTATTTCTTGCTTACTTTGTGCCAATATGTTGTAAATGTATTACATAGGCTAATTTATCAAATCCTCCTACCAACAGTATGAGATAGGGGAGTATAGTTACCCTACCTTCACGGAAGAGAACACTAAAGCTCACATAGGTTAAAAATCTCACCCCAGATCATATATAGGGGACTGACGGGATGGACTTCAAACCAGGGCGTATGGCCTCGGGGTACCTGCCCTTAGCCACAACACTGTCTTCTTTTTGAATGTAAAGTAAATAGTTGGTATTTTCCACCTTCTAGCTCTCTTCCATGCTTGGAGTTCAATTTCTACAGTTGGGAAAAAATTACTCAAACCCCAAACAATTTGAATTTATGCCTTGTCATACTGTATTTGCTTAATGAATGCAAGCCTCTATATTTCCTCTCATTTGTGGGTTTATGAACGTCAGCATCATACTTTATATGCGGTATGATTTTTTTAAATGCCTAACCTGTCATAATTAAAGATACCTACTTTTGACAAAAACACTTCTCTCCTACTTGTAACACTCTGGCACTAACCATGCCAAAAACAAAAAACAAAACAAAACAAAACAAAACGAAACAACAACAAAAAACCCCACACCCCACACATGACCCATGAGCTTAGACAAGCAGCACTTTATATTTTTAATGCTCCTGCTATTTAATATGTGTACCTTGCCCAGTTTCTGGGCTGGTCTTCTTCCCCTAGGTTTTCCTCTGTATCATTTTTGTGGCTGCTTCATTTCTGTTTAATATTTGCTTATTTTTGTTGAAATCCCCAGTGCAGAAACCCAAAAACCAAACAAATACTGATGGAAAACTCACAGCAGCTCAAATGTCCTTGGAGACACTCAATTTTTTTTTTTTTTTTTGCTACCATTTGTCATCCTCTGCTCAGAGAGATCAACAGTTTTTAGCACACAGATCAATATTCTCTTAACCCAGACCTAATCTGAGGAGAGTCTCCCTGTGTTTCACCTTGGCCTGCTCCTCTATCCTGGAGTTGCCCTTTTTTTTTCCTCCAGCAATAATCTTGTCTGAGTAAGACAGCAATTTTTCATCCTTTGGTCAAAACTGGTGACAAAAGAGGGAATAATGGTTGCTGACATACGAAATGATAAATTTGACACATGGCGTGCTGAGCTGGGAGCTTTCACGTGCCAAAGCAGAAAGACAGATAAGCAGGCTGATAGCTCTTCCGACATTGCCGGCTCGCCCCAGCCGTCCTCACCCTCGGATACCAAAACAAGCTCTGCATTTTTTTTTGTTTTTTTTTGCCTTTTTCTTGAAGAAGTTTTGTCTCTGCCTCTGGATAGGAAGCTAGTAAATGTGCTGCTTTCCTGCCCAAAATAAACATTTCCCTGTCCCGCAAAAATGATCAATCTCTGCCCTTTTCTGTAGCACAGTGAGGGCAATACAGCCTGCTGCTTGAGGAAATATTAACAAATATAGCCAGTGAGAGGGAAACAGATGGGACGAAGAAATTGAACCAGCAGATTTCTGGATGGTGTTCAATGAGAAGAGTTTTATAATACTGAAACAGAACTGCTCTTTAATTTTTGTGAGCATCGATAGTCAAGAAACACCTCTTCCCAGCCTCCTGGTCTCCCTATTAAAGACTTCATAGAGGGGCACAAAAGGGTCCCTTTCTTAATCATTCTGGCAAAAGCAAATTAAGGCTTACAAAAGCGAGTGCCAGGCGAGAGCGTAAAGGCGTGCTGGCGGCTCCAGCCCTGGTTCCTGGGACAGACACAGTGACCTACATGCCACAGAGCAGGGGCTCCAGCCCTGGGATCCTCTTACATCTTGACACACAAAAGCTTCTTTCAGAATCCAAACTAACCAAACAGGAACAATTTTTATTCCTGCATAGGCTTCTCTGGAGCATGTGTTCACATTTAAAACCCTGTCCCATGTGTCATAGGCCCACATTCAGAGTCATTTGTATTCTTCGGATTTGCAAAGCAACTGCCACCAGGACTTCACTTGGTCACCAGTAGCCCAAAAACAACTGCAAGTACAGTTTACTTTCTAAAACATGCTTTTCACTGAGATTCAAATTCCCCTTTCTTTGACTAAGTACATTATTTGTGTGGGAAACTATAGCTTTTTCACCATTGTTACGCTGTTATAAACATTTAAATATCATACACCATGCCCCCCTCCAAATGGCAAAAACATATACATATCCTAAGGTGATGCTATTTAGAAAGCCGTAAAATACCTACTTTTTGCTTTCCTTTAAAAGGCAACGTTTTGGAAAGAATTTTTCAACCTACTTCAAAAAAGTAGTCTTGTTCTTTAAAACTGCTAGGCTTCCCCAAAACCTACATGCTATAAACATAAGGAAAATATTATAGATATATGATCAAATGCATGTTTTAAATCTGAGCCAGTTTTTTTTTTCTGTGTGTATGTGTGTGTGTGTGTGTGTGTGTGTGTGTGTGTGTGTTGATGAAAAACATTTTTCTTGTAATACATTATTCGGCACATTCTATGGTATTTTTCACAGTTTCTTCATGTTTGACATTTTAGCCAAATCTGTTAGGAGGGGAACCAAAATGAACTACAATATTTAGCTTTCAATGAAGAAAATTAATAAAGGCAAGTTTCTTTTCTTTAAATAAAATTGTGGGTGGCTGGGTTTTTTTATGTGATTTTAAGAGCTCAGAAATTAACTGCCAATAGTTCATGATGGATAATAAAATAATTTTTAAATGTATAAATATTTCGAGATATGCACGCTGTGAGAAGGAGAGGAGGAGAAGTTAAATAGAAACACCTCCCCCCAAACCTGGCAGAAATAAAAAACTTCCCATGATGAGAAGTACTTTGTAGAAAACAGGTGAATAATGAACTCTTATTTTTATTCTTTTCTTTATGAGTTAGCTTTCTTACAAAATCTTGAGTTACCTCAAGTTTTTACTCTCTTGTTTGTTTTACATTACTCGGAAGGTCATGATTTGGGGTGCATTTCCTTACTCTAGCAGTCCCTTAGTGAAAAGTCTGAGTGGTCTTCTGGCATTTTCTTTTTAATAGCAATTTCAAGTACAGGATTGCTGCAATGTAGAATCATTTTTGAACACGTGCCCTAAGGCCACAGGACAATGAAGAACATTTTGAAGGCATCGATAAAATAAAAATAAAACCAGCACTACTGTTCTTTGGAAAGCAATAATATTGCTCTCGGTGGCCTCAACTCTCACCTTGGCCTGTTTTCTCACCTGCGAGCAAAAGTCCCCTTGAAACTGGGGGAACTCAGAACCGAGTACAGAGATGAGAAGCACTTCTGCCTCGCTTGGAATTTTCCTCTGTGGAAAAGCGTACCCTTTGTATCAGAGAATTTGCAGACACTTCTTGCCAAGGAATTGTTTACATTATTATTTTGTCCCACAAAGAATTCTATGATATGCGTGATTCGGTCAAACTATCCCCTTTGCTTCCCATAGTTGCACTCCTTGTAGAATACAAAGAGTTAAGATGATGTTTCTTGTTGTAGAATTAATCAGATTCATATTAGCAGTAGTAAATGTCATGTTGGCACCTTTTCCTTCTCACACATTACAGTTTCAAGTCTTTGCTATGAGGAAATAATGAAGTCAAGATATGCAGTGCCATACACCGTGCATCTTTTTTGTCAGGCTGCATAAGAAATGAATTGTATCTGCTACTAAGGGGGTCAGAAGAGCAGCGAGTTAAGAAGACTGCTTAAAGAAATGACATGTCAAAGGAAACAAAAACTTATTTTTTAGCACTTTCGAGGTGGATTGCCTTTTTGGAAATGAAATGTTCACAAATATCCCTATGTGATAAGGCTTGGTTACATTTAATTGCCTCTTACCAAGCAGCTTTGAAGTTCCCACAGCTTACTTATTGAGATCAGTAAAATAAAAACGACCTCCTTGGCAGCATACTTGAGCACTGTCAGGAGAGGGAAATCCTTCCGTCTGGTATAGAATATTCAAAGCAATTTTGAGTTTTGAGGTCACCCATTATAACCAAGTAATGTTTCAGGTACCATAAGGAAATATCAGGCCCTGCATGGGATCATAATCACCATCCATAAATAGCTTCGACATAAGGCAGGTTGTGCAAATTACTATAATAGAGATATAAGCAATTTCCCGTGGGATGTCACAAGAAGAAAGGAAGGTTTAACTTCAATAAACTATTGCTTAAAAATAAATAAGGTGATCATTTCTGTGGTCAGCTCTGTTCAATTCACTTAACTTTGTCCAGGCAACTAAATCCTATAAGTGGTTTTCTCATGGAATGCTATGAGATTCAAGTGAGAAATGTATATGAAAAGCATTATGTGCTATCAAAATGCAAATAAATTGTGTCTAATCATCATCATTTTAATCACTACTTCTAAATACCAAATATAGTAGACCTGAAATAAAGAGATCCTTCTAGACTAGAGCTGCTCACTTGTGGTGTGCACAAATTCCTTGCAGACTGTGTTAAAATCAGATCCTGAGCCAGTAGGTCTGGAATGCAGCCTGAGATTCTGCATTTCTAACAAGCACCCAGGTGAAGATTACGCTGCTGGTCCTCAGATCCAACTTTCTGGAGCAAGGCTGGAGGCTTTCTTTTGGGGAAGGCCCAGGTTTTGCTCAATCTTTGCCAACAGCTTTGACCCTTCATTGTTTCTGTCCAACAGTTACTAGAAGTCCTTCCCTATAAACCACTGCATGTTCAAGTAACTCAGTCTCCCACGATGTTTGGTCCAGTAACCAAGCACCCTGGCTCACTGTCTTGGAATGATACAGGATTTTGAAATGCCTCCCAATTGCCCCATGGAATTCACTCATTAGATTCTCTGCCACCTGGTATGTTCTCATGCAATAGTCTCCTTTTGATCAAATCTTACCTACAACACCTCATCCTGTATTCATTTACCACATCTGACTTACAGCTGTGGTAACGGTGCTTAACATGTTTCAGGGCCACCGTAACTGTAACTCCAGGAGTTACAGTTCCCCTTGTATTTTACACAAATTCTACGTGAGTTTTGCTCTAAGAGCAGGCACCATTTTCAACGTGAATGGTGGCCTTTTGAGTTGTACAATGCCTCAGTACTGTAAAGGGATTTTAAAATTTACAAAGTACTTTCACAGAGAATAATTTATTTAAACCCTGAAGCAGACTTTTGAGGCAGGAGTTGAGCTATTATCCCCATTTTTCAGCTAAAACAACTTTGAGAGTTCAAGTAAACTTTGGGGAATTAAGTCATACAGATGGGAATAATGAAATAAAAATGTACAATCAAATCTCCTGCTTCCTTCCTCTCCCCATGTTTCATCATCTTCATGCCTCTACTTTCCACCTTTCTTAACTAAAACAGAGAATGGATCCCAGCAACAACCATGACATATTTGAGTTAAATCACTTTTATTGTCTCAACCTTGTTTTATCCCATCAGCATTAGTCACCTGACAATGTTTGATGTTTCTAGGAATTTAAAAGTGTTCTTTTTCAGTTTGATGTGACCATTTAAGGTCATACATTTATCTCCTCTACTTCCCTAGAAATAACACTAGCCTAAGACAAGATACTATCATGCACTGCATAATGTTGTTTTAATCAACTATGAACTGCATATACAACAGTGGTCCCATGAGATTATAATTCAGCTGAAAAATTCCTACTACCTAGTGACACTATAGGCATCATAAGGTTGTAGCACAATTACATTAAAAAATAAATTTAGTGGCCGGGCGCAGTGGCTCGTGCCCGTAATCCCAGCACTTTGCAGATCACGAAGTCAGGAGATCGAGACCATCCTGGCTAACACGGTGAAACCCCATCTCTACTAAAAATACAAAAAATTAGCCGGGCATGGTTGTGGGTGCCCGTAGTCCCAGCTACTCGCGAGGCTGAGGGAGGAGAATGGTGTGAACCTGGGAGGCGGAGTTTGCAGTGAGCCGAGATCGCGCCACTGCACTCCAGCCTGGGTGACAGAGCAAGACTCTATCTCAAAAATAAAAATAAAAATAAAAATAATAAATAAATAAATAAATAAATGTAGTGTAGCCTAATGTACAGTGTTTATACAGACTACAATAGTATACAGTAATATCCTAGGTCTTCACATTCACTCAGCACTCACTCACAGCCTCACTCAGAGCAACTTCCAGTCCTGCAAGCTCCATTCATGATAAGTGCCCTATGCAGGTGTACCATTTTAAATCTTTTATACCACAGTTTTTATTGTATCTTTCTTATGTTTAGGTATGTCTGGATACAAAATACTTACCATTGTGTTATAATAAAGTAGGCAGTGCAGTAATATGTTGTATGGATTTGTAGCCTAGTACCAATAGCCTATACCACATAGCCTAGGTATGTAGTAGGCTATCCCATCTAGGTGTGTGTAAGTACTGTCTACGATGTTAGCACAATGAGTAAATTGCCTAACAACAAATTTCTCAGAATGTATCCCCACTGTTAAGTGACACATGAGTATTTTTAGCATTAGGGGAATATTTAAACCTAGACTGGCATCTCGAGGAAGGTCTCCTACACAATTCTGGATGATACAGCACAGGTAAGATTGGAGTGAAGGAAAAAATGACTAATTTGAGTTTCACATTAAGATGAAACTAATGTTGGCCATGGAAATGGATGGTAGGGACCCGGAGGGAGGTGAGAGCAGATCACTGGACAAGAAGGGAGGAGAACATATTGAATCTCCCAGATTCCCAGGAAACCCCACAGGCACTAAGGACCGGGCACTCTGAGGAGTAGGCCCTCAGCATTTACTGCTGGGATGCACCTGGTATGGACAGCACAGAAACACAGAGGCTCGGCTGCACTGATTTAATGGCAGGCATGCAAGCCAGCGAGGAAGTCAGCTGTGACTAGGCTGCTACTTCAAACTGACTGCACAAAGAGTCGATCTGGCCCCCGTTACAGCTTACATCTCTGGTGACCTCCTTTCTGATTCCTGACAGGCCACAAATGCTCATTAAACTTTTCCCTTATCTCCTGATTTCTGCTTGAAAGAGTTGAATAAGAATCCACCCAATCTCAGGTAGAACCATTTCAAGTGGTTCAAGTGACAACACATGGCTAACAAGGACTTCCTTTCTCAATAACTATGAAAGTGAAAAACAGTATCATGGGACATGGAATGTGTTTAACTGTTCAAATCAGAAGAACGAAGATAGATTATGACAATAGACTTTCAATATACATGACAGGCAAAAGACTAACTTCTTAACTATACAATTGATTATAAATTAGTAGCCAAAAAAATCAAACTTCCAATGACAGGGATTAGAAACCAGAAACTATACACCAGGATATTACAAATAACAAGGAAGCAGCCACAGCATTATTGATATCTGAGAAAGAAGCATACAAAGAAATGTATTACACACTCAAGATTAGAACAGTCATGAAGATTTGACCACCAAATAACATCATAAAGGGCAATTTAAATTTTTAAAAAATTGAAAATTAAAGGAAGGTTTTGACAACCCCCTCTCTATCTTTAACATATAAAGTAGATAAAAAATAAATACAGGTTTAATAGACTTGCATCAAACTCTGCAGTTTACAGATAAAAAATATACATTGCCTTAAGAAGTATTTTAGACAATTTTTAAAAAATTCAATAAGCATTTGTTGAGCCTGTACAATGAGCCAAGAGTTTACATATTATTTATTCCCTAAAATAAGCTTGTGATGTAGCTGTTACCCTAGATTTACTGATAAGAAAACTATAACTGAGGAAGTAAGGGATTATTTAAGGTAATGTGATAATTAAAGTGATAGATTCCATTGTACTTGTAACTTTTAAAAAATCTTAATCTTTCTTTTTTTGTGGATCAATTTTAAATGTATAGAAAGTTAGCAAAAGTAGTAGAGTTGTACAGTTCGCCTATACCCCTCAGCAAGCTTATCCTAAAGTTCACACCTTACTTAACAATATTAAAATAATCAAAACCAGGAAACTAACATTGGGGCAATACTATTATCTAAAGACCTTATTCAATTTTCACCTGCTTTTCCACTAATATCCCTTTCTATTCTGACAACCTAGGCAGGACCCCGCTTTGCTTTTCACCTGGGGCCCCTTCAGTTTCTATTAGTTACTCATTCTCACCTTAGGTCTCATGATCTTGACACTTTCAGAGAGCATGCGGTCATTTGTCTTGTAGAATGTCCCTCAGTTTGGATTCATCTGATATTTTCTCAGATGGGGACAGAGGCTATGCAGTTTGAACAGGAATACCAAAAAGTGATGTTGCTTCTTTCTCAGTGCATCTTATATCATAAGGTTCATGACATGCATATGTCTAATTGTTGATGAGGTTGACTTTCATCAGTTAGTTAAGGTGGTGTCTGTTGAGTTTCTCCACCTATAAAGTTACTATTTTCTTTTTCTTTCTTTTTTTTTTTTTTGAGACGGAGTCTCGCTCTGTCGCCCAGGCTGGAGTGCAGTGGTGCGATCTCAGCTCACTGCCAGCTCCACCTCCCAGGTTCACACCGTTCTCTTGCCTCAGCCTCCCAAGTAGCTGGGACTACAGGCACCTGCCACCAAGCCCGGCTAATTTTTTTTGTATTTTTAGTAGAGACAGGGTTTCACCATGTTAGGCAGGATTGTCTCGAACTCCTGACCTTGTGATCCACCCGCCTCGGCCTCCCAAAGTGCTGGGATTACAGGTGTGAGCCACCGCACCCGGCAGATTCTAAAATATATTTGACCTACCTCTGAGAAAGCTAAGATTTTATTCTAAGGATATAATTATTCATAGGCACCTGGGCGTGGTGGCTCACACTTGTAATCCCAGCACTTTGGGAGGCTGGAGTCAGTGGATCACCCGAGGTCAGGAGTTTGAGACCAGCTTGATCAACATGGCGAAGCCCCATCTCTACTAAAAATGCAAAAATTAGCTTGGTGAGGTGGCACAAGCCTGTAACCCCAGCTACTCGGGAGGCTGAGGCAGGAGAATCGCCTGAACCTGGCAGGTGGAGGTTGCAGTGAGCCAAGATCACATCATTGTACTCCAGCCTGGGCAACAAGAGTTAAACTCTGTCTCAAAAAAAAAATTATTCATAGGTTAAGAGAAAATAATATTCATCGCAGTTTAGTTCATAATAGTGGAAAAAAATAGAAATGACCTAAATACCCCATAGTCAGGAAACAGATTATGTAAACTGATACCTTTATGAAATGAAATATTATATATGCATAAAAATAATATTGTATAAGAATATTAGTGATGGAGATATTCACAAAATATTTCATTATTAAAGATGTTTTTTCAGATATTTTTAAAATGACTTTCATTATAGTCATATTTAGTATTAATTTATACATCTAGAAATGTATACAGAAGTTATTAAAAGTGGTTAGCACCATGAAGAAGGATTATGGGTGATTTTGACTCTCAGCATCCTACCCCCATGATAAGTTCAAACAGGATTTGAAATATATATGTGTGTGTATAAATATAATATACATTTATATCTGGTTTTAAAGTATTAATCAAGCTGTATCAAACTGGCTCTACTTCTAAATTCTGGAAATCCTTTTAACTTGTTCTCTCACCTTTTCAACTGCGCAAATTAGTCTTTTTGCTGTTTCTTTTTTTTTTCTTTTAAGAGGAATAAAACAGTGCTTTAAATAATCCATTTCTGAATTCTGAATATGGGTTTTAAAAAATGTAACTGCTTATCTATTTCCCTTTATTGCACATTTGTACATATTACATATGTGTCTTCTATTTGTGCTTTCTTCATCTTGAACTTTCCCTTAATGATCATCTATCAAAACAGAGTCTTTTGATTATTGACAGCTTCCATATTCTCACAAACACTCAACAACTTCCTTCTCCTATTTCCAGCAAGTTTAGAAACTTGACGGTTTACATGGTTCAGTGCTCAAGGGCTCTTGATTTATCATTTACATTACCTTTTGGACTTTTGTTTCCTTTCATACTTTTTCTTATTTTACATTTGAGTCCTTTAATTCTTCTCGGCATTTCTTTCCATTGGCAATGCAGGCTGCTGCAGCAAGACACGTGATCACAGGCCTCTCTTCCCACACTTGATTAGCTGGTAAAGTTAGAGAAATGGCGCAATTACTATTTTAGGTGTTAATTTTCGTTTTTTGTTCAAATCATAAATAATGGATTCTCAGCACCTTCCTGTCATCGTCCCTCTGTGCAGCCAGACCCTGGGGAGTTCCCTGGAGGCCCTGGCTAATTTACCAGCAGGGCAGCAGCCTGAGGGGGGCGCATCCTTGCAGAATTCAGAAAACTGGAGAGTTTTCAGTCCTGGTAGAGGGGAAACAAAGCACCTAGTAATGATTTTATTAGTGAATAACATCTGAGACAAAACAGAGATATCTTTACATCAAATCAGCCAGGTATAAAATGAATTGGAAAAGTAAACAAAGATTTAGATACTCCTCAAATTCCAAACCCAGACAGAGACATACGGACTTCAGCACAATTTTCCTTGGATAGGTAATTCAGGCAATCAGTTTTGTCTACTCGATTTGTCACTAAAATAGGAAGTTATGACTGGAAATCTCAGCATAAAGGAAACTTTTCTTTTTATCGCTTCGCTTAAAAAAATGTGTTGTTGTAAATCATGCTGGGATACCTGGCAATGGCATGACTAATTTGTGTGTGAAAAGTAAATCCTGTCTCATCCAGGATCCCCATGACAAGGATATCTAAATTATTTTCTTAAAGAAGAAAGCAGGGCTTAAATTCAACTCTTTGATAACTAAACATTCCAAAGAATTTAAATTTCAGGAACTTTCAGTTCCAGCTGCATTCTAAAAACTGTTTATTAAAAACTGAAATCAGATATTTTCAAATTACTAAGAAATTCATTTCCTATATTTTGTTGTTGTTCAGGAGTGTCTTGAGTCTCTGCTTTGAGCCTATCTCCTGTTTAACAGCCACCCAATTGCTATCCCTAGGCAGTGAGGACAGGATAAACGTGATCTAGTCTCTGCATTTGAAAAGCATACACGTGAATCATTTTTCCCCAGAGTTGTTTCTATTTCCCTTTCATCTCAATTTCCTCACTTGTAAAATAATGTCAGTTGAACCACACTGTTCCATCTCTCTTTGGTGACATCCTAGAGAAGTCATTCTCTATGTGTTTGCAGTTGGAACACTATTCCTCACCCAAGTCTCTCTCTAAGGAACCTGTAGCTTTGTAGCTACAAGCATGGACTTCAGAATCTGGCAGAACTGAATTTAGATCTCATGAGAACTTCAGCATCAGTTTTGACCTCCCTTTGCCTCAGTTTCCTTTTCTGTAAAGTAGTCATAATACCATCTACTATATATAGTGATTCAGAGGGTGAGAGGCTGAGCACGGTACCTATCACAAAGCAAGTGTTCAATTAGTAGTAATACAGTAATGAGTGTCAACTCATGTATTTCAAGACTGAGGAAGAAAAATTGTGATCTTTTGTTTCAGTAGCTTGTTCTATGAATACTGTGATGGATTAAGTAGTTGATTAAGTTTCTAACTATAAACAGACTCTTTTTTTTTCTCTTTTTTTTTTTTTTTTTTGAGACGGAGTCTCACTCTGTCGCCCAGATTGGAGTGCAGCGGCGTGATCTCGGCTCACCGCAACCTCTGCCTGCTGGGTTCAGGCCATTCTTCTGCCTCAGCTTACCGAGTAGCTGGGACTACAGGTGCCCGCCACTGTGTCAGGCTAATTTTTTTTTTTTTTGTATTTTTAGCAGAGACGGGGTTTCACTGTGTTAGCCAGGATGGTCTCGATCTCCTGACCTCGTGATCCACCCGCCTTGGCTTTCCAAAGTGCTGGGATTACAGGTGTAAGCCATCACGCCCAGCCTTTTTTTCTCTTAAATCAAAGTAATACACACTGTTTGTAAGAGCCAACAAATTAGTTTGTCAATTGGTAGAGAGAACCCTGAGCAAGAGTGAGAAAAAGTAAATTTTAGTTTTTTCATTATTTGACTTTAGGGAATTGACAGATACTCTCTTGGTCTCCTTTCTAACATGAAGAAGTGAAGCTAGATGATTTTTATGGACCCTTCAAGCTCCAACATTGAAGGAACTCTGGTCCTCTCAGCAGGGTGGTTTGTAGGACTAGGGACCTGCGTACACACCTTGTTTCAGTTCTCCATCTTCAGCCCCAAACTCAAGATCTGGCATATCATGAGTGCTCTTCAGTTCATGTTTGTTGAAACCTCCATGGGTATGGAGGGGTCCCAACAGCAGCAGATACTGGGTAGATGAACTTTCCCTTTAACTAAAAGTGGGGCTTGTTGTTATTCAAGGAACAGGGTATCCCTTCTGCATAGCACCACCAGACCTTCAATTTCCCGTTAAACAAGTACCTTCTGCCTCACGGACAAGGCCTTGTGATGACCACTCTTTTCAATTCTTGTCCTACCAGTATTGATGATTGAGCAACAAGACCCAGTGACATTCCTCATGTAAATCTTTTCCAGAGAGAATTTTGCAGTACTCTAATCTGTGGAATGTTCTTAGGTGTTATGTAGAAGAAGGGTTCCTCAGACCTGTTTCATTCACACCAGACTAAATAGCATTCAACAGTTTCTTAGTGCTGACTTCTCAGAGCCTTAAATGTGCTCTTAGTCACTGGGAAATCACCCAGTGTTTGAAAAGGAGCCTTGGGAGCATTTCTCTGAATGGGTATTCCTTGGTATATATTTTAACATTAATACCAGTCATCGCCAATATTCTTGCACTCATTTCCTCTGCATTCATTTTTGAATGATGTGGGCAGCTCAGAGGTCATGATTTTTGGAACTCAAAATCAACTGGAAGCAAGTCCGTGGATTTGGTATCTAGAGGGGACAGCAAAACTGTTTTTCCTCATGGGGGCAGCCATGACCTCATCACATGTGAGCATATATTCTCCATTCCCATTGTGTCCACTTGTCCTGCTGGCATAGGAGGCGTATAGGAGAAGCATCTTTTCTGGTAGTTTACTGGTGGTTGAAGGATTCAGATCTTAATCCTCATCGCCAAGTAAGTGAAAGAGAGATATTTTCCTATAAAATTTCAGGAGATGTGTTATATCTTATTAAACTACAATGGGATTCTCTCTTGGAGCTAACTTTTATTTTTTATTTTTTTAGAGATGGACTCTCGCTCTGTCACCCAGGCTGGAGTGCAATGGTGTAATCTCGGCTCCCTGCAATCTCTGCCTCTTGGGTTCTAGCAATTCTCCTGCCTCATCCTCCTGAGTAGCTGGGATTACAGGTGCACACCGCCACGCCCAGCTAATTTTTTTGTACTTTAGTAGAGATGGGATTTCACCATGTTGCCCAGGCTGGTCTCGAACTCCTGAGCTCAGGCAATCCACCTGCCTCGGCCTCCCAAAGTGCTAGGATTACAGGCATGAGCCACTGTGCCCAGCTGGGGCTAACTTTTCAAAGACACTTCAAGGCACTGTGAACTGGGTCTGTCTCTTTTTTGTTGAAGGTCTTGCTCTACATAGTGGGAAGCTTAGGGCAAGGAGAGTATTGCCTGTGTATACATATATCATAATAAGAAATCATTTTTTTTCTTCTTCCTTTTTTTTTTTTTTTAGAGGCAGGGTCTCATTCTATCATCCAGGCTGGAGTGCAGTGGCGCGATCTCGGCTCACTGCAACCACTGCCTTCCTGGCTCAAGTGATTCTCCCACCTCAACCTCCCAAGTAGCTGGGATTACAAGTGTACCCCACCACACCTGGCTAATTTTTGTATTTTTTTTTTTTTTTGTAGAGATGGGGTTTCGCCATGTTGCCCAAGCTGGTCTCAAACTCCTGAGCTCAAGTGATCTGCTCGCCTCAGCCTCCCAAAGTGCTGGGATTATAGACATGAGCCACCGCACCTGGCCATTTGTTGTCTTCTAATCCTGTATTTCTAAAAAAACAGAAAAGGATTAAATCTCACTATCTTGCTGAGTAAATCACATTTGCATTCTGGTTTGGCAAAGATTACAAGCTGGGTGTGGTGGCTCAAGCCTGTAATCCAAGCACTTTGGGAGTCCGAGGTGGGCAGATCACTTGAGATCAGGAGTTTGAGACCAGCCTGGCCAACATGAAGAAACCCTGTCTCTACTAAAAATACAAAAATTAGCCAGGCGTGGTGGCTGGTGCTTGTAATCCCAACTACTTGGGAAGCTGAGGTGAAAGAATCGCTCGAACTGGGAAGGAAAAGGCTGTAGTGAGCCGAGATCTCGCCACTGCACTCCAGCCTGGGGGACAGAGTGAGACTCCATCTCAAAACAAACAAACACACACAAACATACACACACACAAGGTCACTAAAGAACTTGAAAACACTGAGGGGGAATGTGTTTCCAAGAAAACTTAAAAACCTACACATCATCTATTCATTCAAAGAAGCCTCTTCCTGACATCCCACTTCCTTGTCAGCTCCCTGCTGCTCTTCATGAGTATTTCACTGACATGCATGAAGAATTTACTGTATGCAAACATTGTGGGGGGCTCTGGATACACAGAAATACTAAAATGCCATCTTGAACCATAAGGACCTCAGAGCCAGAAGGGGGCAACGCATAAATTATAATTCAACAAAGCAGGAGCATATTTACTGTGCTGAAGGTGGGAAAGACAGTGATAAGTGAACTACATTGTGCAGGTCAAAGGGAAACTGTTTAAAAGAAATGGAACTTTCTATTAGAACTTTTCATTAATGTGGACTAGCTCCTAAAAAATAATAAAGTAGGCCAAGTTTGCTCATGGTGTATTTCTCCTTTATTACCTGAGTTGGACCACTCCACATACTACCTTCTCCCAGTGCCAACTCATCCAGGGCCCCAATTCTTTTGTTATTGCTATGGTCTGAATGTTTGTGTCCCCTCCAAATTCATATATTTAAACCTAATTCCCAGAACGATGGTATTAGGAGATGGGGCCTTTGTGGGGTGATTAAGTCATGGGGTGGGGCCCTCATTAATGGGATTAGTGCCCTTATAAATGAGAGACAGCTCTTTCCCTCTGTGTGAGGACACAGTGAGAATATGGCTGTTTATGAGCCAGAAAGTGGGCTGATCGTCATCAGATATTGAATCTGCCTTGATCTTGGGCTTCCCGGCCTCCAGAATTGTGAGAAATAAATATCTGTTGTTTATAAACCACCCAGTCTATGATATTTTGTTATAGCACCAGAATAGACTAAGGCAGGCACATACTGATCTGAGACCCTGGTACTTCTTCCTCAGGAGAAGAGTGTTAAGGCTGCCTTCGCTGGTAAGCGCCCTGTGCCCTCTGCCATCATCCCTGGGTAGATTACTTAGAAAAATCACCTGCCCAAGATTCTCCTTTCTCCAGAGTCAGGTCTACTGGGCCTTTGAGACTGCTTAATATCTGTATGCCTACCCATGTTCATAAGCTAAGGAGAGATGGGAAAATGAAAGATCTTCTCCTCTTCCAACTTTCGGGAGGAAAAATCCTTGCCTTTAATCAGGGAAAATATTTAAAATGTTTAACAACCGTTAGAGCCAGGCCATTGACCATTATGAAATGATGACACCCACTGGGCTTGAGCAAGGCACTGGAGGCAGGAAGCTAGACTGGTTTCTGGAAGCTCTTGCGTGGGGCCAGAGCACGGTTGTGGTGGCTGGGGTGCCTTGTGGGATGGCTGTTCCTGACTTCAGTATGTAACTACTGGTATGCCTCTATTGGGGTGTGCCTGCTGAGTATGGGACATGTTTTTATGATGGGTAAATGTTTTGATGTCTTGGCTCAATAAGGGAACACAGAGCTTGCTATTGTGACTCTATTAATGGGAATTTCAGGGAAGTTAGAAAAGGAAGCTAACGTCATTAAAGGCTGCTCAAAGAAGCACTTTGGAACGGGCTCCCTGCTCCTTGTTTCTCTTCTCTATTCTCTTCCCCTAAACCCAGGTTACACCATGGACACAGCTGTTATTAACCACAATCTTATAGGGTTAACTTTGTTTTCAGGACTTGGGTCAATAATGTTGCCCAATTATGAAAGCATTGCATGAGATGCCAAGATGCCTTGAATTTGCTCCTGAATACTTTGCTCAGGTTCCACCCACTTTGATTTGAGGCCACAAGTTCATTTTACCTTTTATTCTACCTAAGTGGAGAATTCAGAAGGTAAAATTAAATATTTCTTCTAGAAGGAGTAGATGCTTCCATATAAGTGTGGAACCCTCTGATTGATATAGCCATTACATGGATCTTGTTAACAGAATTTATGATATCTGAATGAGACAAAAAAGGATGAGTGTTTGTTAGAGAAACACATTGAAAATGTTAGCCTCTGCAACAATATGAAAAATGTAAAAAGTTGTTTTCAACTAGAAAATAAGATTATATCAAATCTTTTTTTGTTTGAATGTAAGACAAGCAAATGACTCTTGACTGTAATTTAGGTAACACAAGTCAAGGAAGACTCCACTGCAGTGTCTGATTGACGCTTCTGAAATAATTGGGGATGCAACAAAGATCAGCTTTAACAACTACTAAAACTTCTGTAGAAATTACTAGGGAGTTTTTAAAAGGTGCTTGTTTGTTTTTGACAGCACTGGATTTTGCTTTCCCCATGATTATTTATATACAAGCAGGAAATCTGCTCCAGAAGGCAGGTTATAAGAAATGTTTTTCAATCAATGAGAGTTTACAGAATGTCCATTTTGGAGACACGGTTGCTTTGTTTTGTTTTATTCATTTTCCTGGACCACTACTATGGTTGCTTTGCATAAGTCAGCCAACCTACTGTGGAAGAGATTTCTGTACATTTCCAGCAAATACCTGTACCTAGGACATGTGTGCAAATAGAGGATGTAACAAATGGGTAAAGAGTGATAGCTTACTAGGTTTGTGATGGTGTGCTTTCATTTCCAACAAAGCTTTAAATAGGTCTTTCAGGCTTGGTAAAAAAAGATTAAAAATATCTTTCCCTTTTGATTTGAAGAAACTATGATTTTTTTCTATTGTCTTGGTGTAGACTTTTAATCTGTAATGTTAGTTTGCCTCCAGCAAATCATGTCTATAGGATGTTTCCCAAACCGAACTATTCTAGAGGGATTTTCAAATGTCTTTATCCAAATAGCACATAAAAACTGTGTTACTTGAGAAAGTTCAGACAGACATAATAGCAACAAAAATTCTCAACACATTTTAAGTAAAAAGCCCTCTGGAAAAAAAAAGCAGAAATTAAAGAAAAACTGCTCACCTAAATTCTTTCTGACTAACTAAAAATATGTACACTGGGGAAAAAGCAGACTGTTAACAATGCCAAATTAGCAGACACCATTAGCAAAGCTGATCCATATGTCCATATTCCGAAAGTTTTGCATACCTTTCCAATCAGAACAATGAAATAATTCCTTTAATCAAATAAAAATCAGAACCACAATTTTCATTATTTTATGATAAGGAAAAATCACAAAAACCTGTAAATCCCAGTATTCCTTTTCCAGATGTACCAATTTAATTTGTAATTGCAAGACACTGCCTGGTTTTAATGAATGTGCAACATATGGATTAGTTCATTTCACTGCCTTTAGATGTAGGGTCCCCAAGAGCAAGCGTAAATCTTGTTAACCACAATCAACATTCTGGAGATTAAAAATTTTTAGAGATAAACGTTTCTATTACTCTGTTGAGCAGCATTATATCTGTGCCTAAGTTGTTTCTCGTCTATAATTTGGACAGTTCCAATAACTGGCTACCACTATATTAGCCTTTGCCTGTATAATTAAGTATTTTAGGAATCATTCATTCAACTACGAGTTTTGGTCCAACCAAGTAGCACAAACTTTCTCCAAGGGAACACGATTAGAATAATTGCCACTCTAGGCCACTGTGAGTCATGCTGATTTGTTTAACCAAAATTTAGTTTTGTGCTGGTGCTGCCACCAAAAGATTTGTTCTTGGGCATAGAACAAATTAAAGTGGAATCCAACTGTTTTCCTTAATAAAAACATATAATTATCTTAATTATGAAGGCAGGTGCAAATATTAGCATACGCACTGGAAGGATTTGTCTTCACTGGCGATTGCCCTACGTGTGTTGAACGGCTCATCTTTGTAGAATGGAGGACAGGGCTTCTATCCACAAGGTAGGATTCAGGCGAGTCACTGCCCTCCATGAATTTCTTGGAGAAGCAGAGCTTTGAAGAAAAGGCATGAGAAGGGAGTGAAAGCCAGCAGATCAGAAGGTTGACTGTGGAAGGACATGTACAAGATGGGACAGTTTTCTAATTTCTGAGGCTAATCGTTGCTTTTACTCAAAGAACACACTTTGTCCAGCAAAACATTTTGTACTTACAATCATGCTAATTAGCCAAGAAATGAAACCCTTCAAACTTATAGTTTTAGCCAAGTATATTTTTTCTCCATAATTTGTGGAAAAACTCTTAATCGCAGGAAACCGGATCTAGTCGTTGTACTTTTTAGTTAGCTATATTTATCCATAACAGCATCTCACTGAGGTCTAGACACTACCAACCAGCAGGGGCCATCACAATATTCTGTCTTCCCTAGTACTTCTGTAAAATTCTGTGTTCACTCTATCCTAATTTAGGAATTTTATTCAGTAAAAATTTAAACCACTCTAAGCAATTAGTCACTCTACTGTGAATGCACATTTTTTACATGAGGTAGATAGTTCTGAGGTGACGTTTTAATGAGCATTTGCAGGTGAAGTTTGAATGTAGTGCTGTGCTTGCCTGAGTTGGACAAAGGGGAAAGGCAGGCATTAGGGATTCTGACACAAACTGTTTTCACTTCCAACTTTTGATGAAAGGCTTTTTGGATCTCTGATATGTGGGCATTCAGTTATTTCCTACCTCTACCCTTAATCTTCTGATTTTTGAATTGATCACCTTTCTTGCGGTGGCAGAACAAGCAATTTCCTCTGCATATGATTTAACTGCTTTATCCCAATGGTATGCTTACTGTGTGTATTATTCGCCTTTCTCATGAGTTTGTAAGCTTCACGAGGACAGGGAACTTGTCCATTTTGCTCTCAGAAATTTTGAGCATCCAGTGCAGTGCACAGCACAGAGTTGGTGGTGAATAAATACGCTGTTAATTTCAAGAATGGGTAAATGACTATGCTGCTTTGCATTTTATCAAGCATTCTACACATTACATGTCTCATTGCTAGTTTTCTTTTGCTTGGGACAAAGTGTGGCTGTTGTTCTTCTTTTAGTCAGTTTGCTAATTTACTTTCGTATCAGTGGGTAGGCATAAACATCTTTTGGTTTGTTAGGCCCATGAATTTAAATGTCAAGTTTTATAGTGTAATAAAAATATCTCTGAAAAGTCATTTGGACAAGGTAACTTCTACTACCACAGAATGCCTTCCCAGTCTTCTGGGTGTGAAAAATCAACATCTCACTTTTTCCCCGCTTCTAAAGGATAAGCCCTGAGTAATTTAATGTATCTTCACACCCTTGAGTCCAAAGGCCCATTAGTAAATGTTTACCAAGAGCAGCTCTCCTGTTTTCCTTAGGGAAAGCTAAGTGAAAAATTAGTCTTTTTACTTCAATAACTAACTTTATTCCTACAGCTGTTTCAAATACTGAAATTATCCTTCAAATGAAGCAAAATAATAAAAAATTAACAGTTTATTTTATGTTGCATATATTATTTGCACATAACTCACAGATCAGGCCTGTCTAGACTCCAGCATGTGATATTTTAATTGTGTTTCCAACATGTCTATAAATTAGTTGTTTACAACTCAAAACGTGTTTTCCCATGGAAACAAAATTGTTAAAGGTGATTTGTTTTTCAGGCTAGATGGCTGCTGCTTATCATAGCACAGTGCTGGTTAGACCCTGGATGACTGACCTCCCTGTATAAGCTTGACACTGGGCTGAGTGTTGTACATTCATTATCCCTGATCCTTGCAACCCTTTGAGGTGGCTATGTTCATTCCCACTTTATAGATGAACTGCTTCATTATAGGGACACCCAATAAGGTAAAGCTGAAGAGGCAAAGCAAGCAAAGAGTAGAGCTTCAATTTGACCCAGGCCAGCTGAGTGCAAAACTCCAAATCTTCCTATCATGCATCTGAGCCTCCACAAAACCTAAACAATGGTGAGGAGACCAGAGGATACAGAAGAGGTTATGAGAGATGGTGATATCTCTCAATAGGTACATGAACTATGGAAACTAGTAATTGTTAGCTTCCTGCAGAATAATTCAAGATCCTTTTGGTTGAAACTGGAAGTGTTTGAGACAAAGCAAGTATCGTAACCATGGCCCTAAATAGAAGCTGAAAGTCCTGGTAAGAGATCAGGTCAGTTGGTCATGGCCACCATTTTGAGTGAAAGCGGAGTAAGGACGTGAATAGGGAGAAAGAAAACTGATGATAGAGAGAAAGAGACGGGGAAGGAGCAGGACTTATGTAAAAGGGAGAAAGGAAAGCATTTCAGAAGTTGTCCTATTGATTAATTACTTCCCAGGTATTACTGAAACATCATACATTAATCATGGATAACACAAACATATATTGTCATGGAGCTGCCTATGTTATCAGATGCTACACTCATCATCTGGTAGATGATCCTATAGAATATTTAGAATAGCTACAGGGAAAGAATATTATTAGCATGAGAAGAAATAGAGTTGTGATATGTGATGCTTTAAACCATTAGGAAGATGAATGGGCTAAGTGATAACTCCCAAAATGTGATCTACCTTTATAAGAAGATTTTACAAGTAAGGACTCTGAAGTGAAAGTAAGCACAGCATCAGCCCTGTAAATTTACTGTCAATATAGAGAAAATAAATCATGCCTTCGGTGATGTAAAAATCCAAATAAAATAAAATGAAAATAAAACAGTAATATAACAAAGCCTATAAGGAAAATTATTATTATTACAACTACTCTTATTGGCTATCTTTTATTGCATTCTTACTATGGGCCAAATACATTACAGAAGTCTTATTTAATCTTGACATTAATCTTGCATGGTATTGCTTTATTTTACACATGAAGAAACAGGCTCAGAGAAGTTATATAACACTCAAGAGCAGAGAGCTACCAGCGGTAGAGATAGGATTCAATGCTTTTTATACATCTTGCTTGCACCCTTTAACTATGTTATAGTATAGAACAAAGGTATAATCTTTTTGTCAATGACAAGAGAAAAAAAGAAACCAGAAAAGTACTATAACAAAATTTTCCTAAATAACAAATGAGGCGGCATGGCTGATTAACATTGAGCTGCATTATTGGATAAGGGTTTAGAAACTTATTGACGTAAAAACATGTTTGCTCTGTTTTAGTACATGAAAAATTCTTTTCCTTCAGTGATTCAAACTATGTTTCAGAACGTGGAGCAATTTTAAAACCTGTATCAGAAACAGTGGAATTTATGAAGGAAGAATGAGCACATCCTCTCAGTCACTGAGCTTAAAATTTAGGAAAACAAAAAATGGAACAAAAATGTGACATTCTTGTCACATAGTCCATAAGTCCCATAGGACAGTAACAAAGAGCAATACAATTTTCAAGGAGGCCTAGATGGTCTCCGACAGGGATGATCATGGAGTGGCTTTCAGATAGAAGTGGCACTTGAGCTAGGGCTTAAAGGATGTGTGGGCAGAGACGATGGGGAGGCATTGCAGACTGAATGACTGCAAAGGAGCTGGAAGAAGAAAGTCGTCAGGTCCACTGGGTGAGCTGTCTGATTTAGCAGCATTTACAGTGAGGTTGAGGGATATAATGCTGGAAAACTGGGGTGTGATGCTGGGAAAACAGACTGTCTTCTGAAAAAACAAAGGGCTTGGTTTCAGGTTGATGAACTCATATTTACTTTTACTCACAGACGTTGTTTAACCAGCAACTGTCTTAGTCCATTTTCTGTTGCTTCTTACAGAATACCTGAAACTGGGTAATTTACATAGAAAATAAATTACTTTCTTACAGTTGTGGAGGTTGGGAAGTCCAAGGCCATGGGCCCCTCTCTGGTGAGAGCCTTCTTGCTGATGGGGAAGCTCTGAAGAATCCCAAAGTGGCGCAGAGCATCACACGGTGCGGGGGCTGAGTGTGCTAGCTCAGGTCCCCCTTCGCTTCTTACAAAGCCACCAGTTCCACTCCTGTGATAATCTATTAATCCATGAACCCATTAATTCATAAATGGATTAATCTATTCATGAGGTCAGGGCCCTTGTAACCTAATCACATCTTAAAGGCCCCACCTCTGAATATTGCCACATAGGGGATTAAATTTCAACTGAGTTTTGGAGGGTACAGTTAAATCATAGCAGAAGCATACATGTTTATTTAACAATAACAATTATTTATATCTTATTATATATCTACATGGTACTTCTAAGAATTTTACCAATACTAATTTATTTAATTTTTTTTTAGATCCTTGTGAGTTAGGTCCACTGTTTACCTGTGAGGAAATTAAGGCACAGAGGGTTAAGTAACTTGTCCAGTTTATAAAGACAGTAAGTACTGGAGCTGGGATTTGAACTCAGGCCTCTGGCTTGAAAGCCTGTTCTCACAGCCTTTGTGCTGTGCTGCCTTGGAGGGGGAGGTTAGTGTTATAGGACATTGAATGTCCTATGTAAAACTCTTCTGGAAACAGGGAAAACTGGAGTCAGGGCAGCTAAGAAAATATCTCATAAAGTCAGAAAAATCCAAATGAGATGGAGGACTGGCTGTAGAAGATACACACTTGATCAGGGCGTGGTAGTTTGTGCTTACAATCTGGCTAGTCTAGAGGCTGAGGCAGGAGGATTGTATGAGGCCAGGAGTTTGAAACCAGCCTGAGAAACATAGAAAGACTCCATCTCTGAAAAAAAAAAAAAAAAAAGGAAAGAAAATTCGCAAAGCACTGTGGCACATTGGCACATGCCTGTAGTTCCTGCTACTCAAGAGGCTGAGGCAGAAGGAGCCTCCCTGAGCCCAGGAGTTTGAAGCTGCAGTGAGCTATGATCTGGCCACTGCACATTAGCCTGGGTGACAGAGAGACACTCTGTGATACAGTTTGGATATTGTCTCCTCTAAATCTCATGTTGAATTATAATCTCCAATGTTGAAAGTGGGGCCCCATGACTGGATCATGGGGGCAGATATCTCATAAATGGTTTAATGCCATCTTCTTGGTGCTGCCCTTGTGATAGTGTGTTCTTGGGAGATCTGGCTGTTTAAAAGTATGGCACCTTCCCCTTCACTCTCTCTTGCTTCTGCTGTTGCCCTGCGATGTGCCTGCTCTCACTTCACTTTTTGCTACTGGTAAAAGATCCTTGAGGGCCTCACCAGAAGCCAAGCAGATGTTGGTACTGTGCTGGTATAGCCTGCAGAACTGTCAGCCCATCAAATCTCTTTTCTTCGTAAATTTTCCAGCTTCATATATTCTTTTCAGGTATACACTTTATTGTAACTGAGGACCATTCACATAAATCATTGCAAAGTGTATTTTTTTTTTTTTTTTTTTTTTTTTTTGAGACAGAGTCTTGCTCTGTTGCCCAGGCTGGAGTGCAGTGGCACGATCTCGGCTCACTGCAAGCTCCGCCTCCCGGGTTCACACCATTCTCCTCCCTCAGCCTCCCGAGTAGCTGGGACTACAGGCGCCCGCCACCGCGCCTGGCTATTTTTTTTTTGTATTTTTTTTTTTAGTACAGAAGCGGTTTCATCATGTCAGCCAGGATGGTCTCGATCTCCTGACGTCGTGATCCGCCCGCCTCAGCCTTCCAAAGTGCTGGGATTACAGGCATGAGACACCGCGCCCGGCCTATTTTTTGTTTTATTTCATGCTTTTGCCTTGTATTTTTGCCTGGAACAAAGAGTTTCTGATTTCTTTTTATTTGTTTTGTTTGGTAGTTTTTACGCACTTTACCTTTAGTCTTTCTAAGTAATTTTACTTTGTGTGGCTTTCGTACACACACATACACATTTTAGTTTTGTTTTCTGATACAATTTGTTTTTCTCTTAGTTGATGACTTTATTCCCTCTATGTGCATTGATATTAAGGATATTTCTCATCTGTTTTTACATATGGTTTCTTAGAAAAAATCTTTTGCAAGTGGTTTTTGCTGTTGCATATATATCTGTACATATGTGTTCGTGTGTATTCCTTCTGGCAAACTGGCAGAGGCTTTGAAGCAAAAAAGCCACAAACCTTGGTAACTTTGTAGATGTGGGTGACAGAAGAGAAGGAAAGGCCAGAGGTAAAGAGCTTTGTTTTGAATACGGACTACAGTGATGATGACCTTGAAATAAGCGGATAAATTAAAGAAAATATTTTAGGGAAAGAACACTTGTCATCTTAAATGTTGTGTATAATAAGGTCTTGGTGTGTCATTTTTGTGGAAAAGACTAGCAGATATTTGGATGGGGTGGAAATGATGGGAAACAATTTACCAGCGAAGCCAGGTCAGACTTGGGAGTTGGAGTAATGCAGTCAGGGCATAGCCCAGCAGCTAGGAAGGTGAGCTCTGTCCTCAGACACTTTTGAAGTTGGAGCCTATTTCCTCCATTCACAACAATGCTGCATTAGGAAAATGTTTCTATCTCTTTAAGCTCAGAGGTTTTCTCAAAAGAAAAAAAAAAGGCATTTTTGCCTTTTATGGTTGCTATAAGAATTAAATAAAATCATGGAAACAAAGTCTGTACTTATTAATACAGAACCTGGCATATAATAATCCCTCTACAGAATTTAGCTGTTATGATGGTGTATATATGACATTATACCACATATAGCATATACAATCATATATAGATATATAATGATCATTTTAAGCATTGTCTCAGCAGATGAGAGACGATAGAAAAATTTCAAAGAATTTTTGAGAAACAGACATGTCAAAAGTAGGGTATAATAAAGGAAAAAAAGTAGGGGACTAAGAAATGAGAGTTGTCATTCAAATCAGCAAGGAAAAGTAGATTTAGTGTGACAAAAGAGCAGAGGTTTAAGAGGAAGCAGTTGGTTCCGTCGGTGAAATGTCTCTCTGCAATGAGCGACACCAGGCAAGGAGGAAAGGCCACGGTGCGTGGGTCGCAGATGTCTTTGGTGTTTTTCAGAGGAGAGGAAAGTTTGGAGAGGTTAGGGGTTACATTTTGAGCACAAGATCCTTCTTTAAAGATCGTGAAACTGTGCCTCACAGGGTTAAATAGACCAAAGAACTGGTTTAAAAGGGACTGTTGATTAACAAAATCTCTGTGTTTATTTTGCAGGATGTCCACTATGAGACCACAGGACCAGCTGAAACCCGCCAGAACCAATATGACCGACTGGAGCTCGCGCAAGGATTTGCCGGGCCACGGGGTGATCTTTTGACGTCACCGTCTGAACTTCCGCCCCAAGTTTCATACTAACTCCCCCTAAATTTTCACATGCCACCCATGAAGAGGCAACTGCACATGGGCAAGGGACTTTCCAAACATCCCCGTTCCCTGGCCAATCACTAATCTACCCTGAAACACTTTCCTCCAAATCCTTCTTTTACAAATATGGCTTTCAAGCCAGTACAAGGAAGACAGTTTTGAGCCCATCTCCTGTCACGTTGCTTGGCCGTTTTGCAATAAACCTTTCTCTCTACAAAAATCCCAGGCTTCATGTTTACCTTTCCATTGCTCACGGGTAAATGGACCTGGTTTGGTTCTATAACAATCGTTTGGATGAGAGATTTGGTAATGACAGGAAAGGAACTAGACTAATCATAAAAAGGAGTGGCAGAGTTGGGACAATCACTGGAAGTCAGCAAAAATATTAGGGGAAAATCAGTTGATGTGGGGGGAAACTTAGGCGGAAATCAGATGATAGCCTGCCATGGCGGCTACTGCATCCGCATGAGCTGATGGACTTTAGGTGCTCAATAAAAACTTCAGTTCAATGAATAACCGTATCAACTTATTGGAAGAGGAATGGGTAGGGAAGCTAGGAGTAGGGGCTTCTGAAAAGTAGAAGAAATGATTTAATTTTAAAATCACCTAATTTGACGGGTCTGCATTTGTTCCTGTCTCAGCCTCAGTGGGGAAACTTTTAAAAAAATAAAATATTATTGTACAAACAATAACAGAATATTACATAAAATTTAAACGGTTTATGTATGGGGATGAAACTCCTGTCTTTTCCATCATACTTATATAATTAAAGTAATTTCTGTGTATTCCCTTCCAGTCCTTTATTTATATGCAGTCATATTTTTACATAATTGCAACCACAATATACAGACAATTTGCATTCTGCTTTTTAATTTAGTTCAAGAGAAGTTTGGCTAAAATTATTTGAAAGAAGAAAATAAAATATTGGGTATAAATATTCAACTACAAATGAAGGAAGGTTTTGTTCATCAATCCTCATCTCTAGAAAGGGAAAGCAATAAAAGTGAGGTAAAGCAATTCGACAGCACTTCCCAGTTCTTATTGGGGAAAAAAGAGCTTTCAAACTTACGGAACTGAATAAAATATTATAGCTAGAGGCACTGGTAGCTTTTGTAATATTCTGCTAAGCATTGCTTCATGCTAAATCTTGAGGTTTTCTGTTAAATTGCTTTTAATGCCTTACTGTAAATATCCGTTTTGTAATAGAGCATTGTTATCATTATTACTATTATTATTAATTTATATTTATAAGATGACAATATGTGAAAACTCTTTACCAACATTTGAAAAACCCCATTTGATCCTTGCCTGAGGGACAAAACATAAATTAGAGGAATACAATGCAGGAAAATGATGGGCACATATATGGTTTCAGCAATGGTATGGATTTCAGGCTAGAAAGGCTCTGCAAAGGAAGCTCTGTTGATGTGATGTCTGAATAACATGGAAGTTTCTACTCTGAATAAATTTTGCCTATGATTCATGAGTCTTGTGAAGTTTATAACTTTTTTTTCCCTGAGGCATCCCTTCACAAGTTCTATAATTTCCATAATACCCCTAAATTTTAAAAGCTCTGGATGTGCAGCTAGAGGCAGCTGCAGAAGATGAAAAAAGGCGACAGGCTTACTTTCTCCTCTGCAGTCAGTATTTTCTATTAACATGTCTGCAAAAATAGGCCCTGTGCAAATGGACACTTAGAGGTGGTCCAAATAAAGAGAAAGAGGGGATTCATTAGTTGATTGACTTTCACTTATTTTTGATTGGAAAAAGCAACCTTAAAAACTATAAAATTATTTTAAAATTCTAAATTTCTAACTTCATCAGTATCTGTAACATTGACTTTGGAAGTGAAAATAGGATAGCATAAAGTCATGCGGCCAGATGCAAGAAAGTAAGCTTGCTCTTTTGATGGAAGGATGCATGGATCTGATCCACATCCAAGTTTTCTGTCTAGTCAACTAAAAAGCATACAGACAGCTTAGTCAGCCACATAAAATAATTGATCAGAGGCAGAAAATTTCATAAAATTTTAGTAATTGATTTCCAGCAGGCGAAATTTCAGTCATTTCTCAAAGGCAGGTGGCCCTAAGCACATTGATATGTTTATCTGTTTTCTTTAATTCTTCCAAGGAAGATTGTAAACTGGGAATAGTACAAGGTTTGACTTTAAAGATGGCCAAATATAGATATTTGTGAATTTTAGTGGCCTGAGTTCCATAGGTAGAGATTGTATAATCTGTAACATTTTTTTAAAAAAGAATGTTTACATTAACAATAGCCAGTAATTAATGTTTGAATATCTGTTATGTACCAGTCACTATCCTAGCCACTTCACAAATAGTATTTCATTTAGTGCTGCGTAATTGTAAAGTATACATTTGGTCTTGGCCCCTTGGTTTGTAGCAAAAAGCCCTAAAACTCTTGGAATCTTTGGAGTAATGAGTGTTCTTTGTATGTGAATGGGGTGATGGATGCAGCCCCTAGGTAGCTTCAGAATGGGGATTGGTCACCAGAAAGACCATAGTGGGATTAGAGGTTGGGAACTTTCAGCCCACACCACAACACCAGTCAGGAGAGAAGGTCTGAAGGTTAAGATGATCGCCAATGGTTAATGACTTAATCAATTATGCCTGCATAATAAACCCAAAAGGACTTACTTTGGGGAGTTTCCAGATAGCTGAACACATACAGGTTCTTGGAGGGTGGTACACCTGTGGAGGGCATGGAAGCTCTATGCTGCTTCCCATATACTTTGCCCTATGCATCTCTTCCATCTGACAGTCCGCTTGTATCTTTTGTAATATCCTTTATACAATCAATGGGTAAATATAAGTAGTGTTTCCCTGAGTTCTGTGAGTCACTTTAGCAAATTCATTGAACCAGAAAAGGGGGTTATGGGAATCCCAATTTATAGCTGGTTGGTTAGAAACATGGGCCACAACCAGTGCTTGCGACTGGCATTTGAAGTGGGGGCAGTCTTACGGGACTGGACCCTCAATCTGTGGGATCTGAGACTACCGCCAGGTTGATAGTGTCAGAACTGAGTTGAATTTTAGAACACTCAGTGTCTCTTGGAGAATTTGGGGCTGGAAAATTGCTTTGTGCTGGGGGTGAGGTGGGAAGGTAGGGGTGGGGTGAGAGGGGAGAAACCCCACACATCTGGTCAAAGAAGTATTCTGTGCTGTGAAAGAATAATTGAAGAAACCAAATTTGATTTTTTTCTATATCATTACTGCGCCCAAAAACAATTCTATGAAATTATTTCCATTTTGTAAATGAGAAACAAAGAAGTCACACATATAGTGAAAGAGCTGATATTTGAACCCAACAAGTGTGTCTCTGCTTATAACCACAGAACAATGTGCCTCAACTATCACAATAATTAAAAGATGTGCTAAACAAAGACAGGACAAAAGTTGATTTTAACATGGTTCTATTTTGTACCATAGTCATTATCCAACAAAATACTTTCTTAGAAAACAACTATACACCGGACAGTTATCAAAGCTAGGCAGAAATTGAAGGGGGTTCTACACTTGGAAGAAGGAAATTTCCCTGAGTGAATTCCCCCACATTTTACAGCATGAGGCCTTAGGGCAAACCTTACCTTCAACATGTGGTTGACCTACATTGGGATAGACACATTCACTCTTATTGACTTAAAGAACCCAAGGGCAAAATTTACAGCAATCACAATAGCTGGAAAGCAAAGGATGAAGAGAATACTGAGAAGTGAGAACCACAGATGTGAAGCCTCAAATTATATATGTAAACTTTCCCTAAACCTCTGGCTGGACCTTGGGCAACCCACGCATGAAACAGACTCCAAGCAGTGCAGCCAAGGCTAACAGAACATTTCAACTTCCACCTACTTCAGAGTTTAAAGTTTCAGTTCAGCCAAGTTAACTGCCTGCTAATCAAAGCAATTAACACCCTCTGGAAGAATATAGCAAAATCCAAAATATCCACAACTTAAAATTCACAATTTTCTGGATATAATTCAGAAATTACTCAATCTACAAAAATTCAGGAACACATAACCCATATTTAACAGAAAAAGCTATCAATGGAGACCAGCTCTGAGATGAGATAGACACTAAATTTATCAGAGGACTTAACATTCATCTACTGTAGGTATTAAAAACCTATTTGTAATCAGCATAACAAATAGGAAATCTCAGGACACAGATATGGAAAATATGAAAAAAATGATTCAATGGAAATTGTAGAACTATAAAACACAATATCTGAAGTTTCAACATTTTACTGAATGAAATTAATGGCAGATTCAAGGTGGTAGAAAGGAGTCACTGGAGGAGAAGACAGATTAATGGAAATTACCAATCTGAAGAACCAGGAAGAAAAAAATAGGAAAAAAGTGAAAAGTGAAAAGTGCCTGAGGACTTGGGAGACAATATCAAAACATCAATCATAGGTGTAATTGGGATTCCGGAATGAAAAAATAAAGATAATAGGGCAGAAAGAATATTTGGATAAAGAATTTGCAAAGTTGCCCAAATTTGTTGAAAGACATAACTTTATAGATTGGAGCTCAGCATAGTCCAAGAAAGATACATAAAAAAGTAAACAGAAAATATTGAAAGTGGCCAGAATAAAATACCGTATTACATATAAGAAAACAACTATATGAATAATGACTAATTTATCATCAGAAATGATGGAGGGCAAGAGATCTTTAACGTCCCACCAACCTTGAATTCTATATACAGTAAAAATATCCTTCAAGAAAAAATGCGAACTGAAGACACTTACATAAATGTTAAAACTAAGTAAATTTTTGTCAGCACACATACTCTAGAGGAAGTTCACCATGTTGAAAGGTATCATGATAGATGGAAACTGAGAATTCTAGGATGGAAGTATAAATATTTAGATATTTAAAAAAGATGATGTTTCTGTGAATTTCTTTAGGTTATGTATGACCATTGGAAAAAAAATTAACACCATTATAACATATGTATTAGCTATGACAATGCATATGACAGAAATAGGCTAAAGAATGGAAAAGTAAAAGAACCTATGTAGCATGTTTTCTCTATTTTTTGGGGAAATGATATATTAACTTTAAGTAGACTATAAACATTTAAGGCTATATATAGTATTCTCTAGAACAACTTGCAAAAGAATGATTCAATGAGGTACAGCTAAAAAGCCAGCAGATGCAATGAAAATGTAAAAAATGTTTAGTTACCTCCCATAAGGTAGTAAAGGAGAAAGATAGGAACAAAATCAGACAAGACACAGGAAAAAATTAAATGGCAGACACATAACCAGCTATTTGAATAATTACATTGAATGTAAATGGCATAAGCTTTCCAATGAAAAGACAAAGATTATCAGTATGGATTCAAATAGCAAGCCCCAACTGTATATGATGTAGAGAGAGAGAAAGAGAGAGACTTTAAATATAAAAACACAAGTAGGCTGAAACTAATTGAATAAAAGCATTATAACATTCAAATAAGAACCAGAGAATGCTGAGGTGACTACATTAATATCAGATAAACCAGACTTCTAGACAAAGAGTTTTATGAGATACAGTTAAAAGTTAATGGCAGAATGTTGGTGACAGGTGCATGAGTGTTCACTGTAGAGTTTTTTCTGTTTTTGTATATTTGAACATTTTTATAATACTAATTTGACAAAATTTAACTTTAATCAATATTCACAATGACAACATTGAGAAACAACAGGAGAAGCAATATGGTACATGTGAAAAAGTGTTACACTGACATATAGGGACTTGGATTCAAGTCCCACTTCTACAAGGCACTTCAGTGACTTTAAGTCTGACATTTAGCATCATTAAGAATCAGTTTTCTGGTCTGTATAATAAGACACAGTTTTAAGGTCTAGGTACTGTCTGGGAACTTTTTAATAAATATAGCAGGATATTCCAGCATTCAAGAGTTTGAGTAAAACGAAAAGTATCATTATTCAATATCCTACTTTTCTACTCTTAAAAAACATAAATGAAAACACGTTAAACTTCTTAGAAAAACTACTAATTGCTGATGCCTTTTGATTCATTCTTTATAGCTAAGAAAAATTTGGATTATGTTACAAGGTGGTTTTTTTTGTTTTGTTTTTTGTTTGTTTGGTTGGTTGTTTGTTTTTGAGAGGAAGTCTCACTCTGTTGCCCAGGCTGGAGTGCAGTGGCGCAATCTCAGCTCACTGCAACCTCCACCTCCCGGGTTTAAGGGAGTCTCCTGCCTCAGCCTCCCAAGTAACTGGGTCTACAGGCACATCACCACCCCAGAATAATTTTTTTGTATTTTTAGTAGAGATGGGGTTTCATCATGTTGACCAGACTAGCCTCGAACTCCTGACCTCAGGTAATCTGCTTGCCTTGGCCTCCCAAAGTATTGGGATTACAAGCATGAGCCACCACAAGCTATTTTTTATGATATAATTTATTTATAACAATTTTAACTTCAGCTCTATAAACAATTTAATGGCATCATTCTCTGACCTGGATAAAAATAAGAAAGATGACTTTACCAAAGTTTTCCACTTTTGTTATTTCTAGCATTGGGGTGAAAATATAAATCCATCAAATGTCAATGAAATTAAATGCCTTTCTGTTATCATTTCCTTATCAAAAAAATAATTTGTTTTTCATATTTGTGCTAAGGAGTAACATATGTAACATATAGGAAAATTCTAAGATACAAAACATACACTTTATTTAGCATTTTTATTATAAATAAAATAGTATATTAATTGTAGAATATTAAGAAAGCATAAAAAAGGAAATAAAAATCACTTCTATTTTCATAAACTAAGGCAATATTTTCATACAATTCCCATTAGATTTTTTAAAAAGTTTACTAGTGTATAATGTTTTCTTTTTTTAGGGAAAAGTGGCAGACTAAGCATGTGAATTTATGCATTTTGATGACCTTTGAATCATGAAAGGATGTTGATTTAATTTTAGATTCTGCATTTTTTAAGTGTTCATACCCAAAGTAAAATTTGTCCAGTGCAATAAATCACTTTCTCTAAATGGCAAGCATTCCTAACTACAATCTACATTTGCCCTCCTATCATGCTTCTTAGGTTAGTCTCTCTCAATTTGTTACTTATTCTTATTGCGTAATCTCCTATTAAAAATATAAAAGGAATCCTGTGAAGATAGACATTGGATTTGGAGTTTAAAATAAGATACACGATCATAAACAAATATCGTATCTTCTGATGAAAGCAATATCTTTCCTGTATTTGTTAAAAAAATAATTTTAAATGCAGAGTTTTTAGGAAGGGTTGGAGATAAGCAGTGTCAAAGCTCTTTGGTGACTAAGTGCATCTGTCAGTTTCACAGTCAGTTAAGGGTTTTGACACTTGCTCCTTGGAGTTTGACTAAGTGAAGGGAGGCCTAACAGCTTTCCGCATGTGGGCCGACTAAAAGAACTGCATGCCATTGGCTTCTCTTTCCTCTTTAGGTATTAACTCCAAGGGAAAAAACCTTTCATGAATTTACCAAAAAAAAAAAAAAAAAAAAAAAGCCCTTCAAATTGTCTATACGTGGAAGAATAAGTGGACTATGTGAACAGCCTTTAACTGGGCAATTAAACACTTAGCTATTTATATGTTAGCCCTGGGCTCCTTAGGAGTTAATGTTCAACAGTTAGAAAAATACATTGTTAAATTTTACGCCATCATATGCTATCAAGACCTTGGTATGTGTGATACTGGAACTTTCACTTGCAATGGTACCTGTGATCCCTTCACATAATGCAGTCCGACAGTATTCTGTGGTGCCCAAGCATCTTGGAGGACAGTAAATCCGTAGAGCTTTGCATTAAAGCCCATGCCTTTCTGGTTAGGAGAAAACTGGTTATTACAGAAGGAAGTGGGGCTCTTCTTACAGCACACATTCCTACAGCAGCATTTCGTAGAAGCCCACATTTTGTATTGCAGTCCTGGTATTCAATAGGAAAATTCCCCGAAGGCAAGATTCATGGAAATTTACAAGCAAGTGTCTCTCATAAGTTACTTATTGGAACAGAGTCCTGAAAGTAGCATTTTTCTTGTTTGTTTGTTTTTTCTGGTATTTCTTTACTATTAGATTTAACATTAACAGAGAACTCAGTCTAAACACTACAGCTTTAATAGCTTTTAAGTCTTCAAAACTTCAGTGATACAGTTTGTGAGCATCAGAAGAAAATAATCCAGAACGGTTTTTAGGTGAAAAAGAGTAACATATGTATACGTACTTTGTTTTATTCTATCTATCTATATATGTATTTATTTTTGCTTTTTTGACGATGTCCTAAACTTTTCTTCTCTGCAAAGATGGCATCAAGTTATAGTAAAAAGATATTTATGTTGGACAATATCTTATGACATAAATTATTTTTTGCTCGTTTCATTAATAAGGATAATAAAGAATCTGTGTTTTCTTAAAAATGGAAACCCCAAAACGTAGAACATGTATTATTAATATAATAAAGTCCTGATGAGCAAAGCAAATAATAAATCACATGAGAGTAATGCTTTTCAATAATTGGAAATCTAGAAGAGATATGAACTAAAATATTTTGTATATTGCACATATATATCCATATATACACATACATATACATGTATAGATATATATATATACATATATACACATATGTAGATAATGTAGATATGTAGATAACGTAGGTATAGATGTGTATACATCTATTTATGTATATATATCTCTACATTACCTATATTACATCTACATATTATATATATACATATATATACATCTACATGTGTAGATATATCTACATTAAAAGAATTAAGCCAAGTATGACCACCTCATCAGTGACGTTCAAGTCTGCTATACATCAGAATCACCTGAAGGAAGGTTAAACCAAAATACCCAACCGATGTCCATTTCCATAGATTCTGATGCCATCAGTCTTGGGGGAGCTCAGAACTCAGAGCTCAGAATTTTTAAAGTCCCCAGGGGATTTTCAAGCGCAGCCAGGCTGTGAAACACAGCACTCTGTTCACTTTATTGTTGAAAGAACTTGTTATTTCCTCCTCTTCTTGTACTTTCTTATCCTGCCTTTGTTTCTTCTTTTCTTTGCTTCTCTTATTTTTTAAAATTAGTTTTTAATTTCTTATGGTTCTTGAGTCTTTGTAGCAGCTAGACAGCGGGGCATGTGAGGGGGCCAGTCCTGTCAGGCCTGTGGCATCTTTGCTCTTACCATATTTTTTGCAGGTAGATCTATCTTGTAGGTTTAAAGATTTTGCATTAATAATGTTTAAATCTGTATCTAGAAGACTGTGAGTTTAACTTTTTTGATTACTACAGCAAAAGTGGTAATATTTCATCAGGAGCTGTGAAGATGAAGTGCTACATTTTCCCTGAAATAAGTGTGTCATGACTCTCAGAGTCCGACAGGCTGTCTCCAGTTCATCATTTTTCCACTGCATGGGCTGAAACATAGTCGAGTCAGCGGAGCCACCTGGGTCGAGATAATAGTCAGAGGAATTGTGAATTGTCTAATTGAAGAGAGGTGTGAATACCTGAACTCTGCACAGTTAAACAACAATCAAGGTTTATCCTTAGATGGACACAGACAAGTTGAGAATGGGAACATCCTCAGTGTTATCACAGCCACTCAACTGGCTTACCGACTGCCTGCAGGAAAATATTTCCCTAAACATTTATCCAAAGTGTGCCTTATTTACTTCACAAGATCTGAACTTTCCATTTCTTTGCTCTTAAATCTTAGTTGTCTTTACTCAGAAATGGCTGAAAGAACTCCACATATTATTAATAGGACTCAAAGCATAGTGACAAGTTATTTATAGCTCCTCTTTTTTGATATCTGTAAAATATATAGATGTTTTCAGATAAAGGAACTTGACTCAAATGTTTTAAATGATTTCTTTCAGAGTTCTTATCTGGCCCTGTTTTTCCAGTAAATAATGTGAATTCATTCTCCTGGCCAGAGTGGTTATAATTTATCAAAAATTATTTTGTATGTGTGTGAAAAAATGTTGACCAACTGCAAGGGTCAGAGGACTCTATTATAGTCAGAGGGTGGGAAACCCCTTGGTTTTTAGGGTTTTGCAGACAGAGCAGCCTCTTTACCAATACCTCTAGGAAATCATCTGTTCGAGTAAGCCAGCAAGAAGAGTTGGCTGTCTTGAGAATGTTAGGTCCTTATGTAGCAGTCTAATCCACTCTTGGAGATGTCACATCCAGAAGTGGCACCTACTCCCAAGGAAGTTTTCTTGAAAGAAACCAGTTTGTATAAATGTATTTTAATTCCATACAAAAGCAAGATTGAACAGAAAACCCGCTAACCTTATAAAGTAATCAAAAGAGGAAAATAGTGAAACGCAATATACCAGTAGGGCATGCTCATATAATGTATGTGCTGAAAACATCAGTCAGTCTTTGTAATGTCAAAATTCAAATAGTCTCCTAATAAGTTTTCCAAGTTCTCAAAAACATAGTGTCGTTAAACTAAAAGAGACAATAATTTGTGCTTGAAAAGGAGAGCAGAGCACTTTCCATTTCCCGCTCTGAATCTGCTCTCTGTCCTCCTCCACCCACTTTGTGACCCTTAGTCTGTTCTCCAGGGACCACATAGGGACAGTCTCCCTTGCCCTCCCACATGGAGTTAACTTTAGCCATGTAGAGGCACTGGCAGAAGATCAGGGGGTGGGGGAGAGGGAGGTCAGGGTATTTATTCCCTTTTCCTCCCTGCTGGGTTGTGGGTTGGCTGCATTTCTTTACGGAGGCCGCAGCTCCTGTGGAGCAGGCCTCTCTGACAGCCACAGCTCTCTGCAGGCTCCGGGAGCTGTGCCCTCCCCTTGCATCTTCTGGATGCTCCACCACCCTCCTGGTTTCCATTAACCCTGCCAGATCCTTATGTCACTCCTTCTCCAAACCCTCTTCAAACACCCCTTTTGAGTGGCTTCCCAAATGGTTTAAAATAGATGGCTAATGAGATTTGTTAAGCAAGGAACGCATTGACAATCGCTTGTTGAGCACTACACACACACACACACACACACACACACACACACACACACATAACATCCTGGTAAACCATAAGCTTAACTTTTTGTTAAGGGGTATAATATTTGCTTTCTACGTACTAGGTTGGACTTGCAGGTGCTTTACAGCAGGGGAGTTCCTGTTTGAGCCTTTAATGCTGGTTTCTTCTAGCTGGCCTAGCAAGGCCCGTGCTGTGAGCTTAGTGGTGGTAGTCCAGGTTATGTTTTATTCAAGGATCAGATAACGGCAAGATGTAAGAAACTTACATATATAATCTAGTCATTTTATTATTCAAATGCCAGAACAAGTATTAACTCTTAATTATTTATTTTTACACGTTAAGTTTAAAGAATAATATCTGTCTTCATAAATCGGGGGCCTGCCTGCTCATCACAGAGTAGTGGCTTCTTAAAACCCACATTTTACTCTGCCATAAGTGTCTCACCGGCAGCTTGGAATCTAATCAGGCTCAGAGGGAGATAGTCTCTCTGTCTCTGTTTGTCTCTCTCTCTCATTTCCCCCCCTTCTCTCCTGTCTTTATTCTTTGTGTTGTTTGTATTTGTAATTTGTTTGTTTTGCTTTCCTTGCTGGATGGTGACTGGGCAAGAAATCATCTCTTCCAAATGCCGTTTACCCTATGTCCATTCTGTATCCCTGGGAGAAAACATTTTGTTTTGTCATATATTTTTAATCTATATTGGTGAGGACTCTGAGCTGCAAATTACAAGGTCGAACTCATACTAATAAGCAAACTCAGTGATGAGTGTTTTCTGTAAGTGAACAATCTAGGGTTAGCTTTGTCTTCAGGTAGAGTAGAAACCTGGAGATCTGGGGCTCAGGTAATGTCATCCTGGTCTCTCTCCTTTTCCTCTTTGAATGTTGTGCTTTTTCTCATTCTCTTCTGCCGACGAATGGCAAAACCAGCTCCACCCTTTGCCTGTGACTGGTGACCCAAGACAGTGAGGGTATCTTTGCTGATTCCTGTGTTAGAAATGTTCTGGGGAGGACTCTCATTGTCCTGTGTCCACCTCATGCCAACCACTGTGGCCAGGAGAACCGTTGTCTCTGATTGTCCAGGCTTGGATAACACACGCACTGCCAAGAGAAGGAGAAAGGACGCAAAAAGGGAAAAGAAGTGGTGGAGGGTAGGAAAGACAGATGGTTAGCTGGAAGGGGACCAGAACTAACTAGGGTGGTAATAGAGAAACTCCACACACATAGCAGCCTTTGCTCTGTTGCTGCAGAGCCAGTGTTGAAGACTAAGCCCACACTGTGAGATAGTCTCTTGACTGCAGCTGCAACAGCATCCTAACACACCTAAGTCTAGATTCCTGCACAGATGTACCCAATGGCTCACAAAGGAGCAAGTGAAATAAAACTTTCCGGTTTACACTCATAAAACCACAGTGGGGCCTGGGCGTGGTGGCTCATGCCTGTAATCCCAGCACTTTGGGAGGCCGAGATGGGCAGATTATGAGGTCAGGAGATCGAGACCATCCTGGCTAAGGTGAAACCCTGTCTCTACTAAAAAATACAAAAAACTAGCCAGGTGTGGTCACAGGCACATGTAGTCCTAGCTACTTGGGAGGCTGAGGCAGGAGAACGGTGTGAACTCGGCAGGCAGAGCTTGCAGTGAGCTGAGATCGTGCCACTGCACTCTGGCCTGAGCAACAGAGAGAGACTCCACCTCAAAATAATAAATAAATAAATAAATAAATAAATAAATAAATAAATAACCACAGTGGGGCAGCTGGCTCAGAAGATCAGATGGCCCAATGCACCCTCTCTGTTGTAGGTAGACCTCTTCCATTAATATCAAGGGCGTGTTGTTTACTCCCCGGCAACCAGTCCACAGCCTTTCCTCCTCTCTTTGGAGGCCTTAAGACCATCTCAGCCCCAAAGAGATGTGCTAATAATAGCATTTGGATCTCAAAAGGGAAGAGGTAGTTCTCTTGATCCTTATATTCCCAAGGGTCTCCTTAGCCCATGAGCCTGTTGACCCAAATTCTTGCTTATCTAAAAATAAGACAATGGAAGAAACAAACTTAATTAATCCTCACGTTCCAGTTACAGCAAATCAAAGTCAAACTGCTCACTTGTCTCACATTTGTTAAACCTAGAGATGCCTTGAGTGATGTTTATAGAACAAAGACATGATAACATATTTAAAGCATCTTTTTATTGCCAAACTGCCACCTAACAAATTTACCATGTTATCTTTATAATAAACTCACTGAAATATTAATACAAAATATTAATTACTGTATGCCAGGCATTGTGCCAAGGATTTAGAAATAAATGGTGACCCAAAGAGAGACGGTTCCTTCCTTTGAGGAGGCTGCACTTTAAGAAGTGAACAAGATAAAAATACAGCAATAAACAATTAAAATAATTACAGATTCTGGGAAGGACCAAGATGAGTATAAAGCACAGTATGCTGTGCTAGAGAAAAATATAGTCTAAATGAGGACTCCTTTAGAAAGAGCTATGAGAAAAGGTTTCTAGATGAAATGAGTTTTATGCCGAGCCCTAGGGTTTAGAAGTGGGAGCCCTTTGAATGAGCAGGCAGAGAGGCCTGGAAAGAGAGAAGAGCAAGGTAGGCCCAGAATGAAGAAGGGGGCCTGATTTGTTTGCTGATCTGGAAGAATTATGTGTCCCTGGAGCAACATGTGTGAGGTGGAGAGCAGCCCAAGCATTGTCACACAGAAGGCAGATGGGGAGCTTGATATGGGCTGTAAGAAGGAGTTTGACTATTTCTCTGCCTGTTTGAGTGGATTTTCTATTTTAGGCAACCAGGCAACCTCTACTGAGAGAATGATCAAATTTGAACCAAGACCTTCCCCTGAGGCAGAAGTCCATAAGTAACTGAATGTCACCGTAGGCTCTGTGTGCCTAGAACTGAATCCATCTATCACCAGGCCCAAACCCCCACATACTGTTTTTTTTTTGTTTTTGTCTTTTGTGTTTTGTTTTTGTGTTTTTCATTTCTTCTCCTGGTTAAGACTGTTACTCTGGTAGACTGTGCTATTTTTCTCAAGTGTTTTCTGTTCCTTTTTGTGAGAGATTATACTTACCCCTCACCAATTGATGTCATATTTTCCCATACAACTTGCTTCAGCCAATAAAATGATTGAAGAAGCAACGCATGCTCCTTCCAAGGAGGTGCATTAAAAGGCAGGTGGTGCTCCCATTACCCCCCTCCCTCTGCTCCTGAGCGGCATGCTTCACGCGAGGGCTGCCCCTTCATCTTCAGTCCCATTGCGAAGGTGCAACAGAACAAAGCTGGGGCCTTCCCACAGCTGACATTCAATGTGAGGGAGCAAGGAACTTTGTTGTGGTGTCAAGACTACTTGGAGGGTGTTTATTATCACAACATAATTGGCATAAACTGACGAGAAAAGAAAATTGTACCTGGAGGGCGGGTGTTACTGTAATGGCAGCAAAAAACTCTTAAGATGTGTGGGGTTAGATATTAGACAGGGTGTTGCATAATGATGAAAATGTTATTGCCATGTGATTCAGTGGTCAGACTTTAGTAGGACTATTTCCTGTATCTCCAGATGTGGTATGCCACAAAGGGCTTGTCATCTCTGTGTAATATTATGGCTGAACATGCATAATTGGAAAATAATTATGAGGAAACCTCAGAAACACCCATAATGAAGAATATTCTATTAAAAGAAAAGGGGGAGTCTGGGCGCGGTGGCTCATGCCTGTAATCCTAACACTTTGGGAGGCTGAGGTGGGCGGATCATGAGGTCAGGAGTTCGAGACCAGCCTGGCCAACACAGTGAAACCCCATCTCTACTAAAAATGCAAAAAATTAGCTGGGTGTGGTGGTGGACACCTGTAATTCCAGCTACTCGGGAGGCTGAGGCAGGAGAACTGCTTGAACCCGGGAGACAGAGATTGCAGTGAGCCAAGATCATGCCATTGCACTCCAGCCTGGGAAATAAGAGTGAAACTCTGTATCAAAAAAAAAAAAAAAGAAAAGAAAAGAAAGAAAGAGAAGGGGGAAGAGAAGAGCTATAGTCTTCAAAAGTGTCAAAGTTATAAAAAACAAACCTGTGGAAATGTTTTTGAGTAAAGGAAGCAATAAAGACTTGGAACTAAGTGCAGTGCCTGACCCTAGGCTGATACTGTACTGGAGGAAAAGAATATATTATCAAGGACATTATTGGGTTCACCTGACAAAAACTGAAATAAGAAAAGTAAATTTTTGTATCAATGAGGAGATCATTGAAGAGTTAGGGATGGAGCTGGGTGGTAGTTTCTGTCCCTCAAATAGCACAAGCTAGAAAGTTCATTGTGAAGTTTTCTGGTTGATCGAGCCTTGGAGATTTTATTATGGGAGCACAGGGTGTGCGTTGGAGAGGAAAGGTATAAAAGTACTGCTTCCAGCAGTAATATAAGAATGATATAATGTTAGAACATAAAATAAATAAGTAGAAGTGGCAAACATAATTTTCATCTCTGGACTGGAAAATCAATAGAGGCAGGGGCTGCATTGCCCTTATTCACCTCTGCAGTCCCAGTGCTGGCACATAAGAAGTGGTAATATGTACTTAATTAATTAATTAATGAGACAATTTATCTCAATAGATGCAAATGGGCCTTTGATAATATTCAAAATCTATTCTCAATATATTTAGAGGGTTACATTCTTATATTATAAATATTATATTTAGAAATCCAAGAGCCAGCATCGCATTTAATGACAAACTTTGGAGGCATTAGACTCAAGAATAAAGTACGGATGATATTATCACCAGTATTTTTTTAACGTTGGCTAAGAGGTATGTCAATATGATGAGAGAGAAAATACAAATACATGTTTTTTTAGGTCAGATTATTACCTAAAAAATCTAATAGCAAAATAAAACCTACTAGAAATAACAGAATATTTGAGTGATGTGATCTAACAGACATTAGAAAGTGGACATAACATATTTTTCCATGTGAACAGAAAATCCTGTAGAACAGCCTATAAAATGAAATTGATCATAATGCTGAAGATACGAGTGCACATACAGATTTACAGATGGGTGTGATAAAAATCGCCATAAAACATTTCAATTGGTTCTGAAGTGGTGTTCCATAAAAACTATAAAATACTGGGGTCCACTTGTGGGGGGATGGTAAGAGGAGGGACAGGAGCAGAAAAGGTAACTATTGGGTATCGGGCTTAATGCCTGGGTGGTGAAATAATATGTACAACAAACCCCTGTGACACGTATTTACCTATGTGACAAACCTTGGGTACTGTCCCCCAAACCTAAAATAAAAGTTAAAAAAAGTAAAAAATAATCTGGCAACAATATTCCTACCTAGAACAATATTCCTACATGGTGAGTGATAAAGAAAATGATCTTTTTGTATAGATGGCAAATCATCACAAAATATTTGAGAGGCAGATCTTTAGATTACCTGAGAGATTTGTGCTCAAGGGGAGGAGACTGGAAAACTGAAGGTTAATCGTGGGTTTTAATTGCTATTAGCTGTCTTTGGCAAGGTATCACAAGAGGTGAGCCCTAGGATGAACGGGCCAGTTCGCCAGAGAAATGACAAAGCAAGAGAAAGATGCTAGAAACCTGGGGCTTCACACTGTTGGAAAAGTGGACTGCTTATAAGATCCAAAGAGTAAGGATACAATTGTAAAATGAACCTTTGAAATACAATTTTTTTAATACTTTGGCTTTATGGCAAAATTATGTTTCTAACGTTGGGTCATGGTTTCCAGTAGATTTAACATACCTTTCATTAGTTCAGACAATAGAAATATGGGCAAGAAAGCAAAAAAAAAAAAAAAAAAAAAAAAAGCCACAGGAAAATAACCTGTCATGGAAAGCTTGGCACGTGAAATTGAGTGGGATGAAATAGATGAGGAGCCCACTAACTTTGGTTATATGTGATGTGAAGTATTATGTGAAGGACAGGCCTTGTATTCAAATAAGTAGATGTTGATTTAACAAAGTTTAACATATTTCCCTACTGCAAGATTTCTCAGAAAGAACTTACTTTCTAATGAGCCTTATAGGTCTCCACGAAGAGACCATAGAATGCAGTGTTTCCCAAAACTTCTGTTCCCAAAACATTCTATACTCCTCTTCTACTAACAAAACAACTATTAACATCTCGAAGAATATTCTTTCATAAAACGTGGCTTGGGAAATCTTAGAATAAACTAAGAAAAATCTTTGATTAGATTGAAAATAGACATTTCAGGAAGTATAAATATACTATAAAGAGAATTTAAAAATAAACAAGGCAAGATTCATTTTCATATGACCAAGAAAGCTCTTACCAAATCAGCTCTCTCACAGATAACAACCGTAAATTCTGGACAAAATACAAAACAACTCTCTGAAGGCACTGGAGAAAGATCAAAAATAAGTAGACAAAATATAAACAAAGTTATAGATGTTCTGGATGATATCTTAACCCAATTGATGTTTATAATACTTCACTCAACAACTTCAGACTACCATACACATGTTCTTCACATCCACATACATGGTCTTTCACTGTGATAGCCATAAAATAAACCTTAATACATTTAAAAGGGTTGCAACCACACAGTCTATTTTTTTTTATTTTTATTTATTTATTTTTTTTTACCACAGTGGAACTAAATTAGAAACCAATTACAATAAGACACCTAGGAAAAATTCCCAAGTTACACAGTTACAGGAAGACATTTGGAGACTATTTTAGATGGAATGATACTGAAAAGGAAAATATATCAAACTTCCACATACGATGGTCCAATATCCTTCTGAATAACCCCCTGCTTCAGAAAACTTGGACACAATATAAAAAAAAGCAACATTAAAAGGTACTGGGGAGTGACTGGAAGCAGACAGACTGTGATGGGAAATTCAGATTTGGAAGAGGAAAGAGGGAGAGCTATTTAAGTGCATTCCTGTCTCCCCAGCTTTTAGTTTCAGACCAAGGCCAGTTGGCACAGCATGAATAGTAGTGGCAGGGGCACACATGAAAAAGCCCAGATTTTCTTCCCTGGAGAACCAGAAAAGTGAAACTGCCAAACTATGAACACTGAAGAGAGTGAGGACCTTACAAGGAAAAGAGCTGATTAAAATGGGCAAAATATTTGAACAGACACTTCTCAAAAGAAGATGTACAAGTGGTTTTTAAGCACATCAGACAATTCTTAACATCACTAGTTATCAGGGAAATGCAAATTAAAGCCACCACAAAATGTCATTATATACCTCTAAAGATAGCTAAAGTTCAAAAGCTTGACAACACCAAGTGCTGGAAATGATACAGAGCCCCTGGAGCTCTCAGGCATTACTTGAGGGATAATGCAAAGTGGTACAGCTATTTGGAAACAGTCAAAATACCTGTACCTAATTCTATTCCTATGCATTTATCCAAGAAAATTGAAAACATGCATCCACAGAAAATGTGTATGTGAATATTCATATCAGCATTACTTGTAGTAGCCCCAAACCCAAATGACCAGCTATGGATAAAGAGAGAAAGAAATTGTGGTATATCTACACTCTGGAATACTACTCAGAAACAAGCAAGAATGAAGTAAATTATACATGAAATGACCCAGTGATCTTACAAATATGTTAAGTGAAAGAAGTCAACCACGATAAAACTATCTTCAGTATGATCCTATTTATATGGAATTCTAGAAATGACAGAAAGATCAGTGGTTGCCTGGGGCCATGATTGGAGGGGGTCGGGGCTAATCCCAAAGGGAAACTTTCAGAGTGGGTGAACAGTCTATATCTTGATCGTGGTGGTCTATTACTTAGGCACAAGGAACAACTCACCTTCTCTTGAACACAAGCTTCTGTGCCCTTTTGTTTCTTCTTCTGTGTATAATTCGCTTCTTTCCATGATGAAATCTCTCTCATCCATTTAGGCTCAGATCAAATGTCACTTCTGCAATGGACACATCCAATCAATCATAGGCTGCTTCTTTCTTTCTCCTTTCCATAATTCTTTGTGCCAAATGCTTATCACTCTATATTTTAAATATTTCTTTTCTTTTTCAGTCTTTTTCAGTAAATTGTTGCTCCTTAAGAAGTTAGACTATATTTTAGTTAAAATCAGCTAAAATCCTTAACATATAGAATGTAATACATACATGTATTTTATGTTGTAATTTCTAACTTCTTAAAGAGCATTTGAGATTTTGTTCTTTCCTTTTTTAAAAGAAGGACCCATACAATGGTCTCTTGTAGCCTGAACTCTTTCCATGTTGTTTGCTAACAAACTCTCAAAACATTTTTTTGAAATGGTTCATTCAGAGCTAAAATATTTATATCTCTCCTTTCACTTATCCTTAGAAATAAACATTTTTCTATTACATCCTAAGAGAATCTTTTGTAACACAATTCTATATGTTCTGCACGGAGAGATCTATAATTGAAGAATGTGAATTATTTCTTTATTTGTATTTCCTTTCACCCTTTGCCCTACAGTATAGGCCATGCTACTCTAAATTACCATATATAATTTTGAAGAGGATCATTACGCGTTTCTATAAACAATGCCTTATCCCAGTTTTGCTGAAAGTGTCTCATGATATGCACATTTCCTTAATTTTAATTCTTTTGGGACCATCTCTAGTTCCTTCATATCAGTAGGCATACATGCCTGAATGGCCTACAGTGCGCTTTAGCTGTATTGATACGGTGAAGTAATTACACACCACAATTTTGTTAATATATCACAATAATCATGCTAGCTTCCTTAATAACAGCACGATTTCCAAGAAATCCTCAGTAGGAGAGTTTCTTGTTAATGATAATTAGACTAGCATTGCATAGGAGTGGTATATTTTATAAACCCTTCATAGATTAAGGAAAACTAGCAACTCCTTTGAGTTTAAAGGTAATTTAGACATTGTAGGAGCCATGAGAAACTTTCTGACTAGTCCCCAGGAAATGATGTTAAAAGGAGAATCTTCCCATTATCCAAGTATTGGCTTAGAAAATCTATTTCCTGTTTTATAGGTGAGGCAACAGAAGTTAGTATAAATTGTCTAATGGAAATAAATAACTTTCTCCAAACCAAAGAATAAATGTTAGGGCTAGATTTGAATTCAAGTCTGTCTGATTTCAAACCTAATGCCTTTTCTGAGATACCGGGCTGCCTCCCTGTGACAATCTTTTATAAAAACATTTTTTGAGGGCCGGGCACGGTGGCTCATGCCTGTAATCCCAGCACTTTGGGAGGCCGAGGCGGGCGGATCATGAGGTTAGGAGATCGAGACCATCCTGGCTAACATGGTGAAACCCTGTCTCTACTAAAAATACAAAAAATTAGCTGGGCATGGTGGCGGGTGCCTGTAGTCCCAGCTACTTGGGAGGCTGAGGCAGGAGAATGGCGTGAACCCGGGAGGCAGAGCTTGCAGTGAACAGAGATCGAGCCACTGCACTCCAGCCTGGGCAACAGAGCAAGACTCCGTCTCAAAAAAAAAATTTTTTTTGAAACTGTATTTCCACATAAACACAAAAGCACACAGAGCAGCGTAATGAATGTAATGTACTCATCAATCAGATTTATTTATCAAAGTTCTGCTGCATTTACCTTAGCTATTTCTGTGTTTTGCTTCCTTTCTTTTCCTTTGCTATAGTATTTTGAAGCAAATCTCAGGTTGTCACATCTTTTCACCCCTATATATTTTTGTATGCATCTTAAAAAATATTTTTTTTCCCTTACGTAACAGCACTGCCTTCATCATACCTGACAAATTAACAATACTTCTGTGGCATGAGATGTCTCAAAAATGTCTGCAAAAGTTGTTTTGTTCAAATCAGAATCCAGAATTCACGCATCACATTAACTTGTCATGATGCCTAAGGCTTTTAAAATCTAGAACAGTCTCCATCCCTTGCTGCCATCTTTTTATTTATTTTGATGTTAATGACTTGCTGTAGAAAACAGGTAGTAGTCCGGTAGACTGTCCCAACTTTTGATAGCCCTTTTTTCTTCTTTGTGTTGTAATTTAGCTTGAAACTTTTCCCTTTACCCCAATATTTCCTGCATTAAAAAACAGTATTCATATACACTCTAGAGGCTTGATTGGATTCAGGTTCAACTTATTCCACTCCTGCCCCCCCAGCCAAATCTATCATAAGCAGTTGCTGTATGTTTCACACAGTCTGGTTGTTCCAGTTTTAGAGATGCTGAGATTGATAATTTTCAGGTGTTGAAACCCTGGTCTCTTCCTTGCCAAATTCCTCATCAATTTTTTACCCCACTGAGAATAGATCCCCAATTGAATTTATTCATCGGGTGTTGCAAAATTGGTGATTTTTCTGACTTTGTCATTCCTTGCACATTTAACTACATTTCTTCTCTAAAGGAGAAATTCATTTCATCAAATAGCCTTATGTATTTATTGTGAATTATAGTGTATGCAGGAGAGTTGGAATAAATGCTTAACTTTTTTCTTTTCATTGACAATTTTCAATTTTCTGTGTAAGGAGTTGGTGCCCTAGATATTTCTCTTTCTCTCTCTCTTCCATAAATTTATTATGGACCTATGGGTTTTTACACATTCAATGAATTTAAATAAATTATTTTTTTGATGCTAAAATTTGTCCACCTTTAGTTGATGGAAGACTTTTATGTTGCTTTCTTTGTCCTTTACGCTCAACCCATCAGGCTTTGATAATGTCTTTTTTGGCACAAGACATTCTAAGCTCAACCTGTATGTTTCCTGCTTTACATCTGGAATTAGCTGCTCTAAGAAGCTCTAGTTCATTTTAGTGGAGAATAAGATATGGAGGAGAAAATCCAGAGATTAGGAATTCTCTTTGCCTTTGGGTTATCATTGATTCTGAAAATGTTTAAGGACAGAGCTAGTAAATTGTTATTCAAACTAAACAGGAATTGTATAGATATTTCTAACACGTAGAATTTTACTTAACTAAAATCTAACATGAATTTTCCTCAAATATTTTTGATTTTATACTTACTTTTTTTCCCTTGCACTAGAATATTTGTTCTCATTAATAGCAGAAGGTAAATTTATGGCTCTATTCATTCTTAGAACATGTTCTTATGTGTACATGTGTGGGTGTACAATGAACATATTGTGTCCTATAGTCAACTAGAATAATTCTATTCTTCGTGAATTGTGTCACCAACTTGAAAATTAATTAAGTTTGCTAGTTTCAGATTGTTTTAAATTGATGGTTGCTCTTTTCTTTTGAATATACTTTATCTTTTAAATATGTAATATACTTTAACATGCCCACAGTCAAAGCTGTATAACAGTATTATTATTTTAATAATAATAATATTTTAATGCTTTAATCCTTAATTACTTTGATTTTGATATCTAATTATGTTATTTCACTTTTAGTAGTATAGTTATTTTATGACATGATCTTTCCTCCAAGGACAATATTAGCCATATTCTACATTCTGTAATGTTGTTTTCATTATAAAATTTCTAGGAATTCTATACTTTTATTTTGTATTTTCCTTTTGACCCATAGATTTATTCATGGAGGATATTGTTAATTTTTCAAAAGACTCTTCATTTTACTAAGTTTTGTTTTATTGTTTAGAAGTTAGAAAATGCAGTTTGTATTTTTTTATTAATTTATTGAGGCTTCTTTCAGGCCTTAATATATAGGAAATTTTTACAAATATTCCATGTGCACTTACAAGTGAAAGTATCTTGTCTATTACCAAAGTGTAGTATACATAGTATCTATACTATAAATGGCTGTTGCCTTTATTGATAATGTCCACTTAATCTGTAATTATCTAAATCTGAAAGAGATAGTTTAGTTCTCCTCTTCTGTGTTGTTATAGTATTATATTTTCACTGTGTATTTCAGACTTTATTAGGTGTCATTATTTGTCTTGTTAAAATGGTTTGACATGAATTCAAACTTGTCTAATATTAAGTGTATGGTCCATTTTTTAATTGCTTGATAGTTATTTGCCCACCCTTTTATTTTTACTTTTCTGAATCATTTTGTTAAAGGATTATTTCTTTAATACAGCATAGAGTTTGATTGTGCTTCACTGGCCAATATAAAAACATTTTTCTTGTAGGTGCATTCAACCACAGTTTTCTAGTACGTTCTTGTGTGTTTGTGTATTATTAATGTTATTCCCACCTTTTTCTTTTGATAACTTTATATTTTTGTTGTTTTTGCCTATGTTTACAGGAGGTGGATTTTCCTGGAGTTTTAGGAAAGGGTTTCTGGTTAGGGGGTGTCAGGAGATGAAGTTAGCCAACATAGTTTTTCTAGCTTCACTGATTCAGTTCTCCCCACTCAGTTATAATAACTTGGAAGGACTCAAAATATATCCTGCAGTTGTTTTATTGTTTCTCAGAGTTAATTATATTGATGAAGAAGCCTTGTGTCCAGCTGCATGTTTTCTGGGATTTGCTTCCTCAGCCTGTCATCTGAGCACCATTCCTTCTAGATTTCCCAATCCCAGTGTTTCAACACTGATCATTTTGGTTTCTCTCCACAGCAGCTTTCCTTGATGGAGAGGCTCTGTCTTCCTAGAAAGGAGTGTGAGATAACCTTAACATTTTTTATATGCACAGAGCCTGGGAAGATTTTCCCCAATTGTAGTGATCATTTTCAAATCTGTCAGTCCGGGCTTCCAGCCAGGATGGGGGTTCTCTAATATTGCCACTGATTTTTTGGTATCCAAGGCTGGTAGATGGCATTCACAGACCACTCACCTCTCCCAGCTGCAGCCACCCAGCTCCTCCCTGGTCCACCAGCATCCTGGGAATCACCTGGAACCTAATGGAGAAGTGGACAGCACTCCCAGCCCCACCAACTTCCCGGTTGGTTTCTGTGATTTACAGAAGGACTCTAAGCGAGACTAGAAAAGGGTGGGTGCCATGATTACACATCACAGTAAGCTTTTTCCTACGGCACTTTTAGAAGGAGGTGTTCCACACGGGAAGAATTAGCCGGAGTAAAGATGCCAGTGGTGAAGGACACCCAGGAGGACAGCACATTTGTCCTGAATTCTGTGTTTTTCTACTGGTGTGTGTGTGGGGGGTCTCCCTGGGGCTAGACAAAAAGCCAGAGCCCTGTGGAAATGTGCAGTGACTTTGGGGAAGAAGTTAGCTTTGGGTAACTTACAAAATACAATTATGTTTAAGTTCTTAATGTTTATTTTAAAGAATCTCAAAGATCTCAGGAGCAAAAATATGAATCTACTTTTTAATGAAAGTACTACATAGCCTTAAGAACCCTGTGTATGTGTGTGAATGCGTGTAGGTGTTTACATTAGTATATTATATGAGACCCTTTCTAAGCTGTTTCTAGTGTTTTCGTTAGGAAGATAATTTCTGAGAGTGGCTTCTAAAATATAATTATTCTAAAAATTATATGCATATTTAGGAAGTTCAGATTAAGTATATGGCCCTGAAACATGGGTTCTTAGGCAAGTTTCACAGCACGTCACTGATTTTATTAGCCAGCGAAGTCTATTTTTATGATAGGTGTTAAGTAGTTATTTTGTGGAACAGCTGGCAACAAAAAGGACAAGAATAAAGAAGTTAAAATGATTCGGTGTAAGACAGCATTTTAAAAAGTGTTCAGATTGTTTAGTTTCTGAAATTGCTGAGAAATTACTAGAATTTTCATTTTCATGATGCTTAATTTGAGGGAGGTGATATATTCCTTTTCTTTAAAAACACAGCCTTTGTTTTTTACGGCAGAAAATCCTGGTTTGTTGGGAAGGTTTTGAGGAGCCTTTGGAAGAAGATGACAAAATAAAAGGCTTTTCAGTGGCTTGTGGGAAGGCAAGATTTGTCTTGCGATGGAATTTAGAGCACAATAGTTCCCTGGGCAAACTGTCACTCAGTTTTCAAGGTGGAATTTAAATAACCACATTGTTTTCTAGGAACTCCTACTTCGACCACTCTATTGTGCAGAATTACAACTGCATCGATTCCCTTCTAAAGCATTCACTTTCAAGATTTCTTATTCAGCATTATGTTGTCCTATATGAGACTTCTCTCTTATCAAAATGATGAATCCTATAAATAAGAATTCTGTGTTAAGAAATTTAATTTGACTTTCCAGAGTCCAAACTCCAAAATATAAGTCCTGCCATATATTAATGTAGCATATAATTTCAAAAAATAAATAAGACTTCTTGACAGGGGAAAATAGAAATTTTCCTAAATTAAGTAAGGGATTAGCCTTAAAAAAATGAGTTACTGTGACCCAAAGAATAGAAGGATGGTTTTTTTTTCCGTCTAGTAGTTTAGAGATATTTAATAGTTAAAGGAAGGGCACATCAAACAACAATACTTAGTTAATATCTTTAGGATAAAATATTTGAGGGCAAATAGCTGATAATTTTTAGAGCATTTAAGAAGGATCAAGAAATGGTGCAAGGGCGGGGTAAGAAGGTGTGCAAGAGGAGAAAGAAAAGATAACACTCATTTTTTTGAGTGCTTTTCGTGTGCCCTACTATGATGCATATATTTTATGTCATTTAGTCTTCAAAATAACCCTGCAAGGTGTGTACTCTTGTTGTCCCCATTTTATAGATGGCAAAATATGTTTATAAAGGGTAAATTATTTGCCCAAGTTCACACCATTAATAAAACATGGGAAGCAGAATAGTTTGATACTAAAATGACAATAGGGGTTACAGAGGTGGCTTTCAGGCCCTGAATGCAGTATTCCTCTCTGGAAGTTCACAGCATTAAAAGTAAGTGGGATTGAATACATTTCAGTTTAAGGTTTTTATTTTAAACCATTATTTGCAACAGCCATTTTACATACTTTTTTCCATGATATATGTATCAATAGTCAATCTGACAAATAATCCTCAAACAGGAAACATGATTTGCAAACTGTGCCATTTCATTTAGTTTTCTCTGTCTCTCTATTTGTCTGAATGAACATATCCAGACAATCTAAATAATTTGCCTGATGTTACATAAAGAGTAAGAGCTTGGAATTAAATCTTTTTTTTTTTTTTTAAGTCAGAGGCCCACTCTTTGAGAAAAATTAATTGTGTGAGGTAGGGATAGGCAATTTTTTTTTTTGTTTTTTGTTTTTTTTTTGTAAAGGGCCAGGTTGTAAAAATTTTAGTCTTTGTGTTTTGTATGACTGGTAGATCTCTGTCACACTATTCAATTCTGACATTATAGCATTAAAGCATCCATAGATAATATGTAAAATAATCCATTTTATCAATTACTTTTTTCATGGATCATGCCTTTAATTCTGTCTGTATCTAAAAAGTCACCATAAAACCCAAGGTTATCTAGATTTTCTTGTATGTTATCTTCTAGGAGTTTTATAGCTTCATGTTTTACATTTAAGTCTGTGATCCATTTCGAGTTCCTTTTTTTGAAGGGTATAAAGTGTGTTGTTGTTTTTTGCATGTGGGTGTCCAGTTGTTCCTGCACTATTTATTGAAAAGAAGATTTTTCTCCATTGCACTGCTTTGCTCCTTCATCAAAGATCAGTTGACTTCATTTGTGTGGATCTCTTTCTGGTTTCTGTATCCAATTCCATCAATTTATTTGTCTATCTTTCACCAGTACCACACTATCTTTATTACTGTGCTTTATGGTAAGACTTGAAGGCAGATAGCATCTGTCCAAAAGACTTTGCTCTCCTTCTACATTCAGTTGGCTATTCTGGGTATTTTGCCCCTCATATTCCAGCCACCTCCACAGCCTGACACTGTGATCTGGGCTTCTCCCCTCAGGGTAACCATCACACTCTGCCTGAGCTTCCCCTCCCTACACTGTAGCGCAGTAAGTTCCTCCAGGCAGAAAATGGCGGATATTGAAGCAGTCACTTTGTGAGTCTCTCTCCACTCTGTTGCCTATTGTCTAGCATCTGACAACAGTTGTTTCATATACATTATCCAGTATCAGAATTGTTTCTAAAAGGAGGCTATTCCAATAATTTTTCTTCTGTCATGGCCAGAATCAGAAATCCTAGGCTTTCTTTTAAGTTCTTTCTTGGCTTTAAGTCTTTTGTATTTGAACTACATTTTCTAAGATCGAATTCAAAATATAAACATTTAAAAAATCAAGGCTGTATGATCACTTCCTTAAATGCTTTGAAACAGCAGCCTCTTCAACCTTTTTAATCTCTTTAACTAAGTGTGCACATGTTAATTTAACCTGAGTTAAATTAACTCAGGTTGTTAATAAAAAGGCAATCCAATGTCCAATATTAGTAAAACTATATGCAATTATGTATGTATTTCTGACTAAGAAGAAATCATTACAAAATCTGAGAGTTCTTTTGAAAGATCAAGAGATCTCTAGTTATTGAAAAGCAAAACACAAAAAACCTCTACAAGGATATGATGCTTGATCATTTCGCAATTTTACTGCCATGATGTGCTTTTATATGGGTATAGTCCAGTTTTATAATATGTTCATATACATATAATTTTAGGGCAGCCATGGGATGACAGTTAAACCTTTTATCAGTGTTAGTAAAGTTTCTGGAACAAAATGAAAATGGATCTAGGTGACAAGGTCGAATCTCTCTTGTATGACATCACGATATGGCTGTGCTCATCATCTCTTTGCCTGAGTATTGTTTCTGATATGTGACAAAAGAAGCACCTCCATTACACAGAAAATTATAGGATAGGATGAAAGCTGTATTTTATATCATTCTTCAAGGAGACCTGGGTGAAGAGCTAGTAGTTTTATCACTAATAAAACCCAAAGGAAATTGCGTGACCTGCTTGGACTCTATTTCACATTTATTTCTGAAACTACATACTGCCCCCCAATTGTTACAGTAATAATTCAAATCAACATGTTAATATATGATAATTAAAGCTATTGTGTACATTACATATCAATATATTAAATGATTTTTTTCAGGGGGAAATGCTTGCCTGTGAAAATATAGCCAAGGGGCCCCCACAGAAGAAAGCTACACATAGAGTGGAAATCCTGTGTTTACTGGCTCCTGTGGTTCAGGCCAGCGAGGGTCACTGAAATTCACTTCATTTCCTATTCAGCTCTCTGACTTTGCTCTTTGAAGAGCACCTTAGGGACAGAATCAGTTTTCCTGTCTAGTGAAAGCCACCCGAAGGATCAACCACTTTCTCAAGCTCTAATTCCCCATTTTTCCATATGCATAAGTATATGCAGGCACATGATTGCCATGTAGACATTATAATTTTTTTGAACGAAGATTTTAATTTGTAAATACTAGTAAAATAAAAATTCTACTACTGCCACCTAAACCGGAAGTAGGTGCCTTTATAAGATGGCTTACTCTAACAATCAGCATTTTTCAAAATATGAATCTGGAATCAGGACATGCATGTGACGAAATTGGTTATCACTAAGGTAATTGATAAACCAATGAGAGAACTGTGAGTGCAAATGTTCGTTACTTCCCAGATTGTAGGAAAATAATAAATAAAAAGAAAATGTATAGAAAGTAGAGTAACACTTATGAAAACATTTCTACTCTCTATCCATTAAATACTTTCAATTTTTGAGTGTATCATCAAAAAACTAAGTTCACTTTTTGAGTTCATTTGTCTTCTTTTTATTTCAACACTCCAGTTGAACTTCCTCCTGCTACAACTTTGTTATACTCCACCTCTGAGTCTTGCATTTGCTATTTCCTTTGCTTGAAATGTGTCACCTCCTCTCTTTCCCATCCTCATGAACTTAGTTCAAATGTCATTTTGGCAGGGAAGTCTTTCTGCCCAGTTCCCTGTACATTTTTTAATATGATGGTTTGCAGCTTATATTTATAGATTCATATTTTTCTATGACGAATACCTGTTTTCTCCCCTGAATGTGTCCTCCATGAGGTTGCAGATTATGTTTTTCACACTGTTTGATCCCGAGACCTCATGTAATGTCTAACACAGAGTAAGCCCTCAGAGAAGAATGCATTTCCAATGTGTTTTATAAGAAAATTATGTATTTTGTATAATATTTTACAAGAAAATTAGTCTCATGTTTCTCTTTCCTTAAGTTAATGTGTTATTTCCTTTTTTGTCTTATTATTGTTTTGTTTTTTCTCTCTTTCATTCCTCTGTTTCTTCCGTTTGTAGACACGCGTAGAAGACTCTGTGGTTGACTTTCTGAAAAGGTAGGGTATGAGGTTATTTTCAAAAATAGGTCTTCTTTATGAAGCTAAAAGCATGTTGAGTTTAATCCCACTTTAAGTTCCTGCGGCAGAAAACCTCAACAACTAGAATTGAAAATCTAGAATGCAAATGTCATCTATGTTTCTTCGCAGATTAACTGCAATTTTCTAGAACATTATCTGGAACATAATATGAAAGCTTCAATACGTATTTGTTAAGTGAATAAATCAACTAAAAAGGCAAAACAATTGCTAACATTAACCACCGTGCTCTTACTGGCTTATAAAACGTACTGCTTTTAGTTAACTATCTTAATGAATATTGGCACAGCCTTTTGTCAGGAGTCTTTGAATTATACTAGTGGGTATAGAAAATCCGAAGGCTTCACTGTGGCAGTTGCAATGCCCAGAAAATAACTGTTTCCCTTACATTGTGGCTCTGGCAAGTTCTTAATAGGTATATTTAAGCATTCAATATTAACACTGCTAAGTTTCTTTTTTCTTTTTCATTTTTGATAAATTCTTAATATTTCACCTATATTACATCATATGACATCACATTAAAATCTGTCAGAGCAAGTATAGAAATAGGAAAACAAAGCAAAATAAAACAAAACACGGGGGTTTTGAAAGTCATTGTTTCCATGACTAAAGGCTGAGGGGAAAATAACACTGAGATAGAGAGAGACGCTTGAGAGCTTTTCTCAACCTGCTTCCTTTTAATATTATTTTACATAAACCCTAGACAGTATAGCCAGCAGAGTTCTTTTAAGTGTGTGTGTGTGTGTGTGTGTGTGTCTGTGTGTGGTAAGAGTACTTGAAATCTACTCTTAGCAAATTTCCATTATGTAATACAATATTGTTAACAGTAGTCCTCAGGCTGTGCATTAGATCTCCAGACTTACTCATTCTATATAACTGCAACTTTATAACTTTTGAGAGACATCTCTCCATTTCTGTCATCCCTGCTCCTGGTAACCACTGTTATACCCTTTATTTCTAATAATTTCACTTTTTTTCCATTTTGCATGTAAGTGTCATTATGCAGTATTTGTCTTTCTGTGCCTGGCTTATTTCACTTAGCGTAATGTCCTCCAGGTACATCATTCATATTATCGCGAATGGATCTCCTTCTTTCTAAAGGCTGAAAAATTACTGTGTGTGTGTGTGTGTGTGTGTGTGTGTGTGTGTGTGTGTATCTCAATTTCTTTATCTATTCATCCATCAAGGGACACTTATGTTTTTCTCACATCTTGGCTGTCGTGAATAATGCTGCAATGAATATGAGAGTGCAGATAACTTGATTATGTGCTTATTTAAGTTCTTTGAGTATATAACCAATGGAGGGATGCTGGGTCAGATGGTAGTTCAACTTTCAAATTTTTGAGGATCCTCTGTACTGTCTTCCACAATGATTGTACCAATTTACATTCCTACTAACAGTGTACTAGGTTTCCTTTTTGTCCACAACCTCACCAACACTTATCTCTTATTGTTATAATTATAGCCATCCTAACAGGTGTGAAGTAATATTTCACTGTGGTTTTGATTTGCATTTCCCTGATGATTAGTGATGTTGAACACCTTTTAATATGTCTATTGGTTATTTTTTTATGTGTGATTTGGAAAAATTTCTATTCAGGTCATTTTTCCATTTTTTAGTTTGGTTATTTATTTTCTTGCTATTGAGTGGTGTAGGTTCCTTGTATATTCTGGATATTAATATTAACCCTTTATCAGATGTATAGTTGCAAATATTTTCTCTTATTCTGCATATCAAACTTTTGGTGTAATACCTCAAAAATCATGGCCAAGGCCATTGTCAAGGAGATTTACCCCTACATTTTATTTGAGGAGTTTTAAGGCATCAAGTCTTACTTTTAGATCTTTAATCTACTTTGAGTTGATATGTGTGTATGGTACAAGGGTCCAATTTCATGTTTTCTGCATGTGAATGTCTAGTTTTCCCAACACTGTTTGTTGAAGAGAATTTCCTTTCCCCACATGTATTCTTGGTGCCCTTGTTGAAGAATACCTGGCTAGGCTCTTTATTCAGTCTAGATATTTGTATTCATGCCAGCATCATTCTGTTTTAATTATTGTAGCTGTATAACATAATTTGAAATCAGGCAGTGCAATGCCACAATAGTTAATGCAATCTTAAGTAAGTATTTTTCTTACTTAAGATTGTTTAGGCTAATTGGGATCTTTTGTAGTTCTATATGAATTTTAGAGTATTTTGGAATTTTGATAGGGATTGGATTAAACCAGTTATATCTGTTTGTATCATACGGATATTTTAACAACATTAATTCTTCTAACCCATGAACATGTATATCTTTTCATCTATTTGTGTATTCTTCAGTTCTTTTATCAATGTCTTATTGTTTTTAGTGTACAGATCTTTTACCTCCTTGGTTAAATATATTCCTAAGTATTTTGTTCTTTAGGTGCTGTCATAAAGGGGACTGATTTATTGATTTCCTTTTTGGATAGATCATTATAGATGTAAAGAAATACAATTAATATTTTGTATTTTGATTTTGTATCCTGCAATTTTACTAAATTCATTTATTAGTTCTAACAGTTTTTTTAAATGGAATCTAATTTCCTACATACAGGATCATGTCTTCTGCAAATAGGAAGAATTTTACTTCCTCCTTTCGAATTTGGATACATTTAAATCTCTTTTTCTTCTCTAATTGCTCTTGCTAGCACTTCCAGTACTATGTTTAATAGAAATGGTAAGAATATGCATCCTTGCATTGTACTGGATTTTAGATAAAAAGCTTTTAGTATTTAATTATAATGTTAGCTGTGGGCTTTTCATTTATGACCTTTATTATGTTGAGGACATTTCCTTCTAGATTTAATAAGTTGAAAAATTTTAGGTTGAACTTTGTCAGATGCCTTCTCTGCATCTTTTGTGATTGTCAGGTTGTCACTCTTTCTCATTCTGTTAATGTGATATATCACATTGATTGATTTGTGGATGTCAAACCAACCTAGCATTCCAGAGATAAATCCCACTTGATCATGATGTATAATCTTCTACATGTGTGGAGTTCAGTTTGCTAGTATTTCATTGAGGATTTCTGTATTTATCAGTGACATTGTCCTGCCATTTTCTTTTCTTGTGGTGGCTTTGTTTGGCTTTGGTTTCAGGGTGATGATGTTTTCATAGAATAAGCTTAGAAGTATTCCCTCTACTTGCATTGATAGAATTTAAGAAAAATTGATAGTAATTTTTTGAATTCTTGGCAGAATTCCATCACAAAGCCATCTGGTCCCAGGCTTTTCTTTTGTGGAAAATCTTTTTTTTTTTTTTGAGATGGAGTCTTGCACTGTTGCCCAGGCTGGAGTGCGGTGGCACAATCTCAGCTCGCTGCAAGCTCCGCCTCCTGGGTTCATGCCATTCTCCTGCCTCAGCCTCTTGAGTAGCTGGGACTACAGGCACCCACCACCACGCCCGGCTAATTTTTTTGTATTTTTGGTATAGACGGGGCTTCACCATGTTAGCCAGGATGGTCTCGATCTGACCTTGTGATCCACCCACCTCGGCCTCCCAAAGTGCTGGGATTACAGGTGTGAGCCGCTGCACCTGGCCTGGAAAATCATTTTTAACATTTTAAATCATTATTTCAGTCTCTTTATTTGTTATCAGTCTGTCCAGGCTTTATGTTTTACCTTGATTTAATTGTGGTAGGTTGTATGTTTCTAGGAATTTATCCATTTCCTTTAGGGTATCCATTTTGATGGTACATCAGTGTTCACAATAGTCACTTATACCCCTTTTTTATTTCTGAGATGTCAGTTGTAATGTCTGTACCTTCATTTCTGACCTTATTTATTTGAGTCTTCTCTCTTTTTTCATAGTCTAGCTAAGGGTTTACACATTTTGTTTATTTTTTCAAAAAGGCTAACTCAATTTTGTTGATTTTTTAATAGTTTTTTCTATCCTGTATTTATTTCTGCTCTTATTTTTATTATTTCTTCCCTTTGCTAACTTTAGATTTAGTTTGTTCTTCTTGTTCCTTGAGTTGTAATTTTAGGGTGTTAATTTAAGAATTTTCTTCTTTTTTACTGTAGACATTTATCACTATAATCTTCCCTCTTACAACTGCTTTGCTGCATTCTATAGGTTTTAGTATGTTGTATTTTCATATTCATTCACCTGAAGATTTATTTTGTTTCCCTTTTGATTTTTTTGACCCATTGATTGTTCCAGAATATGTTATTTAATTTCCTCATACTTGTGAATTTTTCTGGGTCCCTACTATTATTGATTCTTACTGTTGTGGCCTGAAGAGATTCTTGATATGATTTAAGTTGTCCTAAGTTTGTTAGGACTTGTTTTGTGGCCTGCCATAGTATTTATCTTGGATAATGTTCCATGTGCACTTGAGAATAATGTATATTCTGCTACTGTTAGATAAAATGTTCTGTATGTGTCTATTATGTTCATTTAGTCTAACATGTAACTCAAGTCCAATGTTTCCTTATTGATTTTCTTTCTGGATAATCTGTCCATTGTTTAAAGTGGACTAGTCCTCTATTATTATTGTATTGTGGACTATCTCTCCCTTCAAAATCGTGTAATAATTGCTTTATATATTTTAGTGCTTCAATGTTGGGTCATACATATTTACAATTTTTATGTGCTGTTGATGAATTGACTCCTTAATCATTATCTAATGACCCTTTTTGTCTCTTTTTACAGTTTTTGAGTTAAAGTCTGTTTTGTTTGATGTAAATATAGCTACCACTGCACTCTTTTCATTCCATTTGCATGAAATATCTTTTTCCAGTCCTTTACTTTCAGTCTGTGTGTGTCCTTAAAATTGAAGGAAGTTTCTTGGAGTCAGCATACAGTTGGGCCCTGATTTTTAAATTAATCCATTCAGCTATTCTATATTTCTTGATTGATGAATGTAGTTCATTTACATTTAAAGTAATTTTTTTTAAATCTTAAAGATGGAGTCTTGCTCTGTCACCCAGGCTGGAGTGCAGTGGCGTGATCTCGGCTCACTGCAAGCTCTGTCTCCTGGGTTCACGCCATTCTCCAGGCCATTTTGTTTATTATTTGGGTTTTTTTTTCTATTTCATTTTTCTTTTTTTATCTTTGCTGTTTTCCTTTGCAATGTGATGGTTTTCTGTAGTGGTATGCTTTGAATTTTTTTCTCTTTATCTTTTGTGTATATACTGTCAGTTTTTGCCTTGTGGTTACCATGAGGCTTATGTAAAACATCTTGTAGTTATGACAGTTGATTTTAAGTAGATAACAACTTAACTTTAATTGGATACAAAAGTTCTACTATTGTGTTGCCCCGCATTTTGTTTTTGATGTCACAGCATACAACTTTATATTGTGTAACTCTTACAATTATTGCAGTTATGGTTACTTTCATGCATCTGTCCTTTAACCATTATAGTAGAGTTATAAGTGGTTTACATACTACCATTACAGTATTAGAGTACTCTGAATTTAACTATTTATCTACCTTCACCAGTGAGTTTTATACTTTCACATGTTTCCGTGTTATTTATTAATTAGCAGCATTCATTTCATTTTGAAAATCTCCCTTTAGCATTTCTTGTAAAGCAGGTTTAGTGGTTATAAATTCCATCAACTTTATTTTTGCCTGGGAAAATCCTGTTTTCTCATCATTTCTAAAGGACAGTTTTGTCAGGTAAAGTATTCTTTGTTGTGAGTTTTTTTTTTCCTTTCAACATTTTGAATATATCATCCCACTCTCTCCTGTCCTGTAAGATTTCTGCTGAGAAATCCATTGATAGTGTTATTATCATTCCCTTGTATGTGATATGCTTCCTTTCTTTTACTGCTTTCAACATTCTCTCTTTAACTTTGATAATTCGCTGTTGATTCTAATGTTTCTTGGTGAAATCTTTGGTTACATTTTATTAGAGACCTTTGAGCTTTAGGTACCTGAATGTTTCCCCATTTTGTAGACATTTTTACCTACTATTTTTTTTTTTTTTTAGATGGAGTCTCCCTCTGTCGCCCAGGCTGGAGTGCAGTGGCACAATCTCAGCTCACTGCAAGCTCTGCTTCCTGGGTTCACACCATTCTCCTGTCTCAGCCTCCCAAGCAGCTGGGACTACAGGTGCCCGCCACCACGCCCGGCTAATTTTTTTGTATTTTTAGTAGAGACAGGGTTTCACCATGTCAGCCAGGATGATCTTGATTTCCTGATCTCGTGATCCACCTGTTTTGGCCTCTCAAAGTGCTGGGATTACAGGCGTGAGCCACAACGCCCAGCCTTTACCTACTATTTCTTTACATAGGCATTCTGTCCTTTTCTCACCTTCTTCTTCTTCTGAATATCCTGTTGTGAGAACTTCACTTTCTTGATGATTTTACACAGGTATCATAGGTTTTCTTGATTCCTTTTTATTCTTTTTTTTTCTCCTCTTACTGTACAATTTCAAATAACGTCTTTGGGTTTTCTATTCTTTCTTCTGCTTGATCTGTTCTATTGTGGAAGCCCTTTATTGTATTTTTTAGTTTAGTCATTGTAGTATTCAGTTTTGAAATTTCGGTTTTTCATGTTTTATATCTTTTTGTTGAGCTTCCTGTTTTGTTTTTGTATTGTTTTCTTGATATCGTTTAATTGTTTAGCTGTTGTTTTTTAGTTTGCCGAGCTTCTTTAGAAAAATTATTTTGAATTATTTGTTTGGAAATTAGAGGATCTCCAGTTATTTGGGGTTGGCCACCAGAAGTTTATTATGTTCTTTTAACAGTGTCATTTTTTATATCTAATTTTTTGTGATCCTTAAAGCCTTGTGAGAGTGTCTGTATTTGAAGAAGCAGCCCTCTCTTCCAGACTTGATAAACTGGCTTTGGGAAGGAAAAACCTTCATCTGCAGCGCAAGGTCCGATAGGGGGAGATAGGTCAGTGTCTCATCAACTCAGGAAGATGGGGTTCACAACATAAACAACTGTGTGGTCCTTGCTGGCAAGAGCTGTGGGAGATTAGTGGTAGCTAAAGGAGTGTTAGGAGCCTCAGCAGTGCTTCTGGGCCTAGCAGCACAAGCACAAGGCCAGGGCAGACAACAGTGGGGACCAGAGCCAGTGGTGTGCACATGCTCAGATATGGGCCAGCTGCTGGCATGTGCATGGTGACGGGAATCAGCTACAGGTTTATGCATGATGGCATGGGTGAGGGCCAGGGGCAATGGCCAAGATGAACTGCAGGAGTACCTGTGGTGTGGCATGGGGGTGGCTTACAGCATATACCTGCATGGTTGCAGGGAATAGCTGAGGTCTGGCAGTAGGGGCCTGGTCACCTGTGCATGCTAGGGCAGCTGAGGGCCTGAGCTGGGGGTGTGCATACTCATTTAACTAAAGGAGCGAGTTGTGGGTGCAAGCACAGTGGTGGGAGTCAGGAAGAATATTCCAGGCCCTTGGAAGGTAAAAGCTGCAAGGAGTCCGCTGTGCCTGTGCTGGCTATTGGTTTCCTCAGTGCTGGAGTTCTCAGTGGAGCAAGATGCTGAGGTCTGTGACAGTGACCACTATCAGGGTCCACAGTTGTGAAAGCTATGGGGAGTAAACAGTGGCCATGAGGTTGCTTAGTTCCTCAGTGCGAAAGTCTGCAGTAGTACGGTGCAGAGCAGACCACTGGGGACTGCAGTGATTCCCGCCACATGGCTGATACTGATAGCCCCTGTTTCTTCCCAGCTGTCTCTCCATGTCTCAGCTATGTTAGTCTCCCCAGTGATCTCAACGGAAATGAAGGTAATTATTTGGGCAGTGCCCCAAACAGCTGAGTGAGCTGGTTGTTCTCCTTACTCTCCTTTTCCTTGCGAGAGACGCTGGCAAGTCAGGCAGATCCCTCACCATGTTGAGCAGTGCTGGCCTGGAAAATGGGGTGATGCAGGCAAAATGAAACTGTTCTTCATTTTTTTTCATGATTATTCTGGTGAGGTATTTTTGTTTTTTCCAAAGGGAACTCTTGAGCTCTTCCAGGGTTGCTTTCCCTCATGGATAGCTGCTAAATTGTTGCTCTTTGTAGGGGGAAGGAAAGCTGGGATATCCTACTCAACCTCTGATGTCACTCTCCCACAGCTAAGTTACTAACGCTTTGCTATTTATTTCATGCTAGAAGGAGAGATATCTTAATGGCTCAACATTATATCAACGCTGCTCAGTCAATTTAACCTCTAGATATTGTATGTAATTATTATAATGAGAAGAACTTACAATTGTCTAGTTCTATGTAATTTTCATCGTCCTTTACTTGTATAAAAATTCAAAGGATAGGATTTATGTTGTAAAATGAGTAAACATATGCATCCTTAATGCTATTAACTATTTAATAATTTCTTCACCACCTTGAATTGCAATGTTACCTATCGATATGTTAACGCTTAGTAACATAGCAGAATTATTTTTGTTTGCCAGCGGATTCACACAGCATGGTGAATACTGAATTACTTGAAAATACCAAATTGTGTTGGCTAATCTTCCCAGAAATCTGCTTTAAGTTGATACCAAATGATTCCTCCTAGTTGATTTTTTTTTTTGAGAATATTGTGACTTGCAATATTAGTTTTAATAGAGTCCCTACCTCTGAAGTTCTGAAACCCTGGTGAGAGTAATGTGGACACATTGTTAAAAAGATATTAATAAGCAATCTTTGCCTTATAAATAACTAATTCAGAGATGTGATCGTTGCACCTTAGTTTGTTTTTCCTTCATTTATTTTATTTTTACATAATTATTTTATTTTTAATTTTTGTGGGTACATAATAGGTGTATATATTTATGGGGTATGTGAGATGTTTTGATACAACCATGCAATGTGAAATAAGCACATCATGTAGAAAGCATTTATCCTTTGAGTTACAAACAATCCAATTATACTCATCAACATATTTTAAACTGTACAATTAAGTTATTATTAACTATAGTCAGCCAATTGTCCTATCAAATAGTAGGTCTTATTCATTCTTTCTAAATATTTTTTGTAATCATTAATCATCCCCACCTTCCCCTAGCCCCCAACTACCCTTCCCAGCCTCTGGTAACCATTCCTCTGTTCTCTATGTTAAAGTGTTCAATTGTTTTAATTTTTAGATCCCACAAATAAGTGAGAACATGCGGTCTTTCTGTGTCTTGCTTATTTCACTTAATACGATGACCTCCAGTTCCAACCATGTTGTTGCAAATGACTGGATCTCATTTTTTTTTACGGACAAATAATATTCCATTATGTATATGTACCACATTTCCTTTATCTCTTCATATGTTGATGGACACTTAGGTTGCTTCCAAATCTTAGCTATTGTAAACAGTGCTCCAACAAAGACAGGAGTGCATACATCTATTCAATAGACTGATTTCTTTTCTTTTGGGTATATACTCAGCAGTGGGATTGCTGGATCATATAGAAACTCAATTTTTAGTCTTTTGAGTAATCATCAAACTGTTCTCTATAGTAGCTGTACTAATTTACATTCCCACCAACAGTGTGCAGGTTTCCCTTTTGTCCAAATCCTTGTCAGTATGTGTTATTGCCTGTCTTTGGGATGTTACACATTTTAACTGGGGTGAGATGATATCTCATTGTAGTTGCGATTTGCATTTCTCTGATGATCAGTGATGTTGAGCACATTTTCATATGCCTGTTTGCCACTTGTATGTCTTCTTTTGAGAAATGTCTATTCAAACATTTTGCCCACCTTTTGATTGGATTATTAGATTTTTTTTCCAATAGAGTTGTTTGCACTCCTTATATGTTCTGGTTATTAATCTCTTGTTAGATGGGTAGTTTATAAATATTTTCTCCCATTCTGTGCGTTATGTCTTCACCTTTTCAATTGTTTCCTTTGCCATGCAGAAGCTTTTTAACTTGATGTGATCCCATTTGTCCATTTTTGCTTTGGTTGCCTGTGCTTGTGAGGTACTGCTCAAGAAACTTTTGTTCAGACCAATGTCTGGGAGAATTTCCCCAATGTTTTCTTGTAGCAGTTTCATAGTTTGAAATGTTAGATTTAAGTCTTTGATTTATTTTTATTTGATTTTTGTATGTGGTGAGAGATAGGTGTCTAATTTCACTCCTCTGCATGTGGATATTCAGTTTTCCCAGCACCATTTATTGAAGAGACTGTCTTTTCTCTGGTGTATGTTCTTGGCACTTGTGTTGAAAATGAGTTCACTATAGGTGTGTGGATTTGTTTCTAGGTTCTCTATTATGTTCCATTGGTTTATATGTCTCTGTTTATAGCAGTACCATGCTGCTTTGGTTACTATAGCTCTGCAGTATAATTTAAAGTCATGTAACACGATTCTTCCAGTTTTCTTTTTTCTTTTTTTTTTGCTTAGGATAAGCTCTTCTGGGCCTTTTGTGGTTGCATATAAATTTTATGATTTTTTTTCTATTTCTGTGAAGAATAACATTGATATTTTGATAGGGATTGCATTGAATCTGTAGATTGCTTTGGGTAATATGGGCATTTTAACAATATTGATTCTTCCAATCAATAAACATGGAATATTTCTCCATTTTTTTGGTGTCCTCTTCAATTTCTTTCATGAATGTTTTATGGTTTTCATTATAGAAATCTTTCACTTCTTTGGCTACTTTCTAAGTATTTAATTTTATATGTGGCTATTGTAAGTGGGATTACTTTTTTTTCCACATTGTTCACTGTTGGTGTTTAAAAATGCTACTCATTTTTGTATGTTGCTTTTGTATCCTGCAACTTTACTGAATTTGTTTACCAGTTCTTATAGTTTCCTTGTAGAGTCTTTAGTTTTTTTCCAAATATAATATTATGTCATCTGTAAACAAGGATAATTTTATTTCTTCCTTTCCAATTTGGACTTTCTTTATATCTTTCTCTTGTCTGATTGCTCTAGCTAGAACTTCCAATACTATGTAGAATAACAGTAGTGGCAGTCGGCATGCTTGTAGTGTTCCAGATCTCAGAGAAAAGGCTTTCAGTTTTCCTCTATTCAGTATGTTACTAGCTGTGGGTCTGTCATGTATGGCTTTTATTATGCTGAGTTATGTTCCTTCTAGCTGCAGTTTTTTGAGGGTTTTTATCATGAAGGGATGTGGAATTTTATTAAATGCTTTTTCAGCATCAATTGAAATGATCACATGGTTTTTATCCTTCATTCTGTTGATATGACATATTACATTGGTTTCATTTGCATATGTTGAAACCATCCTTGCATCCCAGGGATAAATCCCATTTGGTCACAATGAATAATTTTTCTAATGTATTGTTGAATTCGGTTTGCTAGTATTTTGTTGAGGGTTTTTGCATCAATATTCATCAGAGATATTGGCCTGTAGATCTTTTGTACTTATAGCTACAAACTTCCCTCTTAGTACTGCTTTTGCTATATTCCATAGGTTTCTGTATGTTGTGTTTCCATTATACATTCGTTTCAAGAAATTTTTCAATTTTCTTCTTAATTTCAACTTTCTTTTTTGTTCATGTATCTTTGTCTGGTTTTGGTATCAGGGTAATACCTGCCTCATATAATGGGTTTGGAAGTGTTCCCTCCTTTTATATTTTTCAGAATAGTTTGAGTAGGATTGGTATTAGTTCTTCCTTAAATGTTTGGTAGAATTCAGCAGTGAAGCCATCAGGTCTCAGGCTTTCCTTTTGTAGGAGTCTTTTTATCAATTCCATTGCTTGTTACTGGTCTGTTCAAGTTCTGGATTTCTTCCTGGTTCTATCTTGGCAGGTTGTATGTATCTAGGAAATTGTCCATTTCTTCTAGATTTTCAAATTTATTGGTATATAGTTTCTCATAATAGCCACTAATGATCCTTTGAATTTCTGTAGTATCAGCTGTAATGTCTCTTTTTTCATTTTTGATTTTATTTGGATCTTCTCTCTTTTGCTCTTAGTCTAGCTAAAGGTTTGTCAGGTTTTTTTTTAACTTTTCAGAAAACCAACTTTTTGTGTCATTGATCTTGTGTATTGTTTTTTCATTTCAATTTCATTTATTTCTGCTCTGATATTTGTTATTTCTCTCCTTCTCCTAATTTTGGGTTTGGTTTGCTCTTACTTTTCTAGTTTTTAAGGGTGCATCATTAGATTGTTCATTTGAAGTTTTTCCTCTTTTGTATATAGGCACTTATAGCTATAAACTTCCCTTTTAGTACTGCTTTTGCTATATTCCATGGGTTTTGGTATGTTGTGCTTCCATTATCATTTTTTTCCAGAAATTTTTCAATTTCTTTCTTGATTTCTTCATTGAGCCACTGGCTATTCAGGAGCATATTATTTAATTTCCAGCTATTTGTGTAATTTCCAAAATTCCTGCTGATATTAATTTCTAGTTTTATTCCATCATGGTCAGAGGGGATGCTTGACATTATTTCAATTTTTTGAATGTTTTAAGATTTATTTTGTGACCTCACATATGGTCTATCCTTGAGAATGATTTATGTGCTGAGGAAAATAATATGTATTCTGCAGCTCTTGGATAAAATATTCTGTAAATATCTATTGGATCCATTTGGTATATAGTGCAGATTAAGTGTGATGTTTCTTTGTTTATTTTCTTTCTTGATGATCTGTCCAATGCTGAAAGTAGAGTGTTGAAGTCTTCAGCTACTATTGTATTGGGGCCTATCTCTCTCTTTAGCTCTGATAATATTCACTTTATATATCTGGGTGCTCCAGTTTTGTTTGCATATATATTTAAAATTGTTGCTGAATTGACCCCTTTATCATTATATAGTAACCTTCTTTGTCTCTTCTAATAGTTTTTGTCTTGAAATCTATTTTGTATGATATAAGTATAGTGACTCCTGTTCTTTTTTGTTTCCCATTGGTATGGAATATCTTTTTCCATTTCTTTATTTTCAGTCTAGGTGTGCCTTTATAGGTGAAGTGTGTTTCTTGTAGGCAACAGATCTACGGGTGTTGATTTTTCTTCTATTCAGCTGCTGTATGTCTTTTGATATGAGAGTTTAGTCCATCTATATTTAATGTTATTATTGATAAGTAAGGACTTACTTTTGCCATTTTGTTATTTATTTTCTGGTGTTTTATGGTCTTCCCTTCCTTCTTTCTTTCCTTCCTGTCTTCTTCTAGTAAAGGTGATTTCCTCTGGTTATATAATTTAGATTCTTATTTTTTATTTTTTATATATACATTGTATGTTTTTTGGTTCAAGGCTTGCCAGTACTATCTTATAACCAATTATTTTAACCTGATAACAATTTAACACTATTTGTGTAAACAAACAAACAAGGAAAAAGCAAACTAATAAAAATCCTATGCCTTATCTTTGTCCCTCAACTTTTTCACTTTTTGTTGTTTTGTTTATATTATTGTGTTGATTATATCCTGAAAAGTTGTTGTAGTTATTATTTTTATTAGTTCATCATTTAGTCTTTCTACTTAGGAAAAGAGTAGTATACACACCATAGTTTCAGTATTATGATATTCTATTTTCTTGTGTACTTACAATTATCAGTAAATTGTATGTCTTCAAGTGATTATTTGTTGCTCATTAATATCCTTTTCTTTCTGATTGAAGTACTCACTTAAGCATTTCTTGCAGGACATGCCTGGTATTGAAGAAATCCCTTGCTTTTGTTTGTCTGGGAAAGTATTTCTCCCTCATGTTTGAAGGATAGTTTCACAGGATATACTATTCTAGTGTAAAAGTTTTTCCCTTCAATACTTAAAATATTTCATGCTTCTCTCTCCTGGCCTGTAAGGTTTCCACTGAGAAGCCAGCTTCCAAATGTATTGGACCTCCATTGTATGTTATTTGTTTCTTTTGCTGCTTTTAGGACCCTTTGTGTGTCCTTGACTTTTGGGAGTTTGATTATTAAATGCCTTCAGTTATAGTCTTCTTTGGGTTAAATCTGCTTGGTGTTCTATGACCTTCTTGTACTTGGATGGTGATATCTTTCTATAGGGTTGGGAAGCTCTCTGTTATTATCTCTTTGAATAAACTTTCTAACCCTGTCTCTTTCTCTACATCCTTTTTAAGTTCAATAACTCTTAGATTGGCCCTTTTGAGGCTTTTTTTTTTTTTAGATCTTGTATCCATACGTCATTGTTTTTTATTCTTTTTACTTTTGTCTCCTCTGACTGTGTATTTTCAAATAGTCTGTCTTCAAGCTCACTAATTCTTTATTCTGCTTAATCAATTCTGCTATCAAAGGGTTCTCATGGATTCTTCAGTATGCCAATTTTATTTTTCAGCTCCAGTTTTTCTGCTCGATATTTTAAAAATTATTTCCATCTCTTTGTTAAATTATCTGACAGAATTTTAATTTCTTCTGTATGTTATCTTGAATTTCTTTGAGTTCTCTCAAAATGGCTATTTTGAATTATCTGTCTGAATGGTTATATATGTCTGATTCTCCAGGATTGGTCCCTGGTACCATACACCATAAGAGGCAGTTTTTCCCATTCTTCCCTCACCTTTCCAAAGGTGGAGGAGCCTCACCTGGTAGCCACTGCCACCCCAGGCCATGAAGAGTACTGCCAGACTAATGCTGATGTTCCCTTAAAGCCCAAGGTCTCTTAAATCAGCTTATTGTGAATGCTGCCTGGCCTGAGACTCACCCTTCAGGGAAGTGGGCTCCCCTCTGGCCCACAGCTAGTCCAGAAATGCTTTTCAAGAGTCAAGTCCTAGACTCAGGGACCCAAAGAGTCTGCTTGGTGCTCTATCACCCTGTGGCTATGCTGCTTCCTGAAGCCAGCAAGTCTCATAGGCTCACCCAAGACCCTCTATGTAGTACTTGGGTATCATGGCTGATTATTTAGGGCTCAGGGGTTCTTCGGTTAGCAGGTGAGGAATACTGCCAGGATGAAGCCCTTTCGTTCAAGGCACTGGGTTTCCTTCTGGCCCAAGGTATGTCTAGAAATGTTGTCTGGGAGCTTGGGTCTGGAACATGGGCCTCATGACTCTAGCTGGTGCCCTATCTTGCTGTGGCTGAGCTAGTATCCAAGATGCAAGACAAAATCCTCCCTACTCCTCCCTCGCCTCTCCTCACACAGAAGGAAGGGGTGTCTTTTGGAGCTGGGAGCTCTGCAACCTGAGGGTCAGGAGGTGGGATGCCAGCACTCCTTTAGCTGCCCCAGCTGGTGTCTCTGTATGTTGCATGCCCTCTGAGTAAACTGTCTCTGGGCCTAGTGAAAAACTAGAACTCATCTAAGAGTTGCAGTCTTTATGGCCTAGACTGCCTTTCAAGTTTGCCTGGAGACACAGAGTGCCGTAGCCTGTGGTGGCAAGGTTTGAGGGAATCAAGCTCGGACCACTGGGATTGGTGATTCCCCTCTGGTTAGGGCCAGTTTAAATGCTCCCCTCATGGGCGTGTCAGCTGAATTTGGTCTGGTTTTCCTTTGTGCTCTAACAGGACAGCACTGAGTTCAGTGCCTCACAATAGCTGTGTTCTCCCTCCCCAGCACCCAGAGATGCTCTCTGCAACACACTGTCACTGCCCAGGGGTAGAGGATGGTGGCGTCAACCATTCAGAACTGTTTTTTTCTATCTCTTCTCTGCCTCTTTCAGCAATATGGAGTTAAAACCAGGTACTGTGAATGCTCACCTGATTTTTGATTCTTATGAAGGTGTATTTTTCTGTGTAGGTAGTAGTTAACTTGTTGCCCTTGTGAGGGAAACTATTGGTGAAGCCTTCTATCCTGCCATCTTGCTCTACCTCCTTGTTACTTAATTTTTTAGAGCAGTTCTATGCTTAGAGGAAAATTAGGAAGAAAGTGCAGAGTTTCCATATAGTCTTCTCCCATAACCTTTAATTTTCCTTATTATTAACATCTTGGATTTGTGTGGAACATTTGTTAAGCCAATATTGACATATTATTATTGACTAAAGTCCATAGATTACATTAAGGCTCACTTTTTGTGTTGTACAGTTCTTTGTGTTTTAACAAATGTACAATGACATATATCTATTTCAGTATTATACATGATAGTTTTACTGCCCTAAAAATCCCCTGTGTTCTGCCTATTCATTCCTCCTGCCTTCCCTCTGAACCCTGACTCCATTGTTTTGCCTTTTCAATAATGTCATATACTTGGAATATTACAGTATATAACTGTTTCAGTTTGGCTTCTTTCACTTAGGAATATGCATGTAAGTTTCTTTCATGTCTTTTCATGACTTGATTTCATGGCTCATTTCCTTTTCAACTGAATAATATTCCATTGTATGGATGTACCATAATTTATGTATCCGTTCAGCTCCTGAAGGACATCTTGATTATTTTCAAGTTATAGCAACTAAGTATGAGACTTCTATAATCATCTGTGGAAGGTTTTTGTGCGGACTTAAGTTTTCACCTCATTTGGGCAAATACTATGACATGTGACAGCTAAATCATACAGTAAGGGTATGTTTAGTTTTGTAAGACACTGCCAAACAATTTCCTATGTGGTTGTACTATTTTGTATTTTCACCAGCAATAAATGACAGTTCCTACTGCTCCACATCCTTGTCAGCATTTGGTGTTGTCCGTGTTTTAGATTTTAATCATTCTGTCAGGTATTTAGTAGTGTCTATCTCATTGTTGTTTGAATTTACAATCCCCTAGTGACATATGATATTGAGTATCTTTTCAAACTTATTTGCAACAGAGTTTTAATGATTATCAAGACTATTACTAATAATTTTTGAGGGGGACCATTAGCAGACCTGAATGGTTCTGAGGAATCACTGTGACTTTTTGAGTAAAGCTTCTTAGTCACTTTCTATAAAAAAATACTTGTATTTAGCAACTATGTCAAGTTAATCTGACATGCACAGTACAGATTTTAAAAATATCAGACTCTGTTTTATGTCACCAGACTGAGTCTTCAGTATATGCTTTTGTATGAAAAAATCCAAGAGCTGCAAATAACTGACCATGATAATATGATGACTGCCTCTCAAAATACTAAAGGGATTTTAATATAAATGACACCCTTTATAAGTTGGTAATTCACTTGAATAGCTTGTGAGTGACCTTTCTGCCCATTTCCCTACTAGTGTCTTATTCCTGTAAGTATATCAGGACTGCAAATGTGTTACTTTGACCTCAGTGAAAAAAGAGACACATGCTCAGAGAACTGAAAACCAGCATCCCTAATCTACAGCCTCAGTTTCCCAGTAGCTATACTGATGTCAAAATATTACTAATAAGACTATCACTGAAAAACATTCCATTTTTGTATTAAAGTGTAATTTGGACATCTTGCCTCCCTGAGGGAAGGTAACATTTGAATAGGTTTCTTTGTGAAAATGAATAATTTTTTTTTCCTAGAGATCTTAAGAATGAGGTTAAACTATTCCGGCAGAGTTTAAATGCTCTCTGACTTGGATTAAATGGCAACCAAGGTCACTTTCTGCTTTGTGATTCTTTTAAAGTAGCTTTCATATTTGAATGTCACTCTCGTGCACTGTATTTAATAGCACAGTTAATAACTTCTTGATTATCTTAAGGATTATTCAAAAACATTGGGATAAATAAGAGTAAAAAGGGATTGGAGATCATCTTTCAATCCCATGAAACACCTGACATGGTTTATCCTTCTAGCATAGCAAAAGGCTCTTAAAATATTTCTGGCAGACTATTGTTCTTAAAAACAACTTTACCATCCCTTTTCAAAATAAATCAAAGCATGTTAATCACCACGTGCAGTTAAAAAGAGTGCAAAATTATAAGAGATCATAGTATATACCAGATTATTCCAAATATTTCATCTTTCTTGAACAAGAGGAGAAAAATGAATCAAATATCAAGAGAGGGAACTGTTCCCCTTTATTACAATCATTTTCTCTTCTGTGGAGATAAATAAATATAGCTTAAGAGACAAGAGTGTGAGTCAGAGAAAGAGAAGGTGATCTCAAAGGCCAGAAGTTAATGTTTGCTTGCAAGATTCATCTATTAAAGGCGCAGCATCAATAAAGTGCTAACCTGTATTTTATATTATTATGACTGATGAAATCATCTAAAAGAGATATGAAATGTGAAAACATGGTGTGTTAGAACTTAGACGATCACCTCATGTATCTTAGTAAACAAAATTTTATTGGAACAGTTGTGTTGTTATTTTAACTAGGTTCTCCTTCCCACACCCTCTCTTTCTGTCTTTTCAAAAAAGATAATACGAGCATGGTGGCTTACGCCTGTAATCTCAGCACTTTGGGAGGCCGAGGCGAGTGGTTCATGAGGTCAAGAGATCGAGACCATCCTGACCAACATGGTGAAACCTCATTTCTACTAAAAATACAAAAATTAGCAGGGCGTGGTGGTACGTGTCATGTAGTCCCAACTACACAGGAGGCTGAGGCAGGAGAATGGCTTGAACCCTGGAGGCGGAGGTTGCAGTGAGCTGAGATTGTGCTACTGCACTCCAGCCTGGTGACAGAGTGAGGCTCCTTCTCAAAAAAAAAAAAAAAAAAAAAAAGATAATCTTTTTTATTGTTCTTTGGTAAGGATGTGATGGTACAGGATGGGTTTAGGTTAGGTTACAAATAGCAATAATAACACAAATTTGATGCCGTAAAAACTGCCAATCAAATTGTTTAAAATATATCTGGTAATTAAATTAACGAAAGTGACTGTAGAAGAATCACAAATGTAAACCATGTCCAGACACATTTTCAAATTTCTCGCAAACAAATAAGGTAGATTTTGCACCCAAGATCTTGAAGAAAAACACACACACGTACCAGCACAAACACACACACACACGAAAAAAATAAGCAAGGAAATTCTTTCCAATAGTTGGCTTCATGAATACAACTGCTCTCCTGTTCCAGTAGCTATTGCTCTCCAAATAAAACATCACTGTTCCACTAGGAAATGGCTAGCTAAACAGAAAGTGCAATGAATCTGCCGCTGATGAATACACGGACTTCTCCATGAAATCCCCTGTGTCAAAAATTGTTATAGAGGCTTTTTTGTTGTTTAGGACATTCCCAGGACTGGTTGCTTAGTGTTATGTAAATGACAAATGACTAGAAAAAATATTGGCATAGGTAAATAAGGAAATCAGTTTCCTAGTGAAAGGATCCAAACAGGTTCAACAGCCATCTGAATACAGCTTCTTAATATCTAAGAGAACTTGCTTGTATTCTTTAGTGAATTTGGATATTATTTTTTAAGCAGCATGAATTTGCATAGATGGATCCCTTAAGGGGGAGCGGAGGACTCCAGCAACTTGAGTTAGGACCCTTTTGCTTATAACTCAGGGGAGCAGCTGATTTAATTTTCAACGACAAATAAATTGTTGAGAATTTTGTGACCAGGTAGAATTTTGTGACATAGCAGATAGCTTGTATAGTTATCTCTTTCTATTGACAAGTCTTTTTATAATTGATTTTATAAAGTATTAATGATAGTGCAAAGAGTCATTAATTTCTTTTTTTGCAAAATTTGTGGTCTGTGCTCCTTTTCTTAAGGATTTCAAGTGTATTTTTAATGCACTATATCCAATAATTTTATTTATAATTGTCAAATATTCCAAGTATACATAAACACATAAAATAACATTATATGTAACCACTACCTGTATTAAACATATGTTAACATAAATATTCTATTTCTTAAATAGTTGGAATATGTTTTTTAAAAAGCTTCAACAAAGTTTCCATTGTTTTTATACCCTAGTCCCAAGTCCAGGAAAGAAGTGAAATTAAAAACATAGACACCTTCCAATGAGAATGACATTTAACCACACAAGAATGAATTACTACAAACCTTAAAATAGTGCAAACTCGAAGTTGAAGATGGAAAACTTTATATTAGGAATTTCTTTTAGCTGAAAGAATCTAATATGTAGGTGAATAACAGAATTATTTAACTTGCAGATATGTGTGCAGTTCAAAATACAGGAACTTAAATAAGTTTCCCCACATCGTATTTTCTAATTAGGACCCAGGAAATTAACTTTCTTGTTCAAATTTTGTATTTGTTCTTCTGATGAAGTGAATTCAAATACAAAGTTGTCTAAATAAGGGGGTCTCTACGTTTAAGAGACTGTCAGTAGGGAGAGGCTATTAATGTGGTAAGGATTTGGTAACTGAGCCTGAGAAATTCCTCCTTATCTTTCTTGGTCTTTCCCTGAGGAGTACTTTATTGCCACACATTTCTAAGCCACTTCCAAACCACACAAGAAGATTCACCTCATTTGGTTACTGTTGCTTCGAGATGATTCAAACATACATTATCAAGCTTATTTGCCCTTTCTTACATTTGACTATGTAATGTGAAACCTTTTTACCAATATCAAGTCCATCCTTAAAAACTAAACGACACGACACCATTGTTGAGAATACTGGAAAGAATATGGTCACTGAGAAAAAGGTTCAGAATGTTTTGAACAATAGTAGCATACTTAGAATACATACACACATGCACATGCGGACACGCACACACACGTTAGTCTCCTTTGGAAACTAACCTAGGAGGACAGCAATCATTTATTTATTCTTTTATTTATTCAATGGACATGTAGGGAAATGAAGACAAAGACGGTTTTCCCAGTAGAATTCTACCATCATTTGGCTGGACAAATTAAGTGGCATGAGTTCATTAAGAAAATTATTTGGCTCTATAGTCACTGTGGAATTGCCCTGCTCCCTGTCGCAGCCTCCACTCCATGTAGGAAGCAGCCTCATTGTCCTTCACAAGCTATTCTCACTCCAGACCCTCTGCCTTTGAGTGTGTTTTGCCTTCAAGACGAGAAGTCTTCAACATGCTTTCTAATTATCCAAATCCTTCATAATCCCCCTACTAAAATTAGGTCACACTTTCTCCACAAAACCTTCCCCAGTTTCTCTGACTGCTATTTACTTCTTTGTTATCTAAATTCCTTTAGGACAGATAGCTCGCTTCCTCCTGCTTGGCAATAGTAGATTGAGTGTCTGGAATCCTTCTGCATGTGTACAGTATGACTTAGCCTTGTCCCGTATGGGGACCATGAAGGCCAAAGGCAGTGACCCTACCCATCTTTTTATGTGTTCAGCTCCCCATCCCTTCCCCAGCCCCTCTTTCCCTTTGCTCATCCTGCAGATCCTGTAATTGTGGCATAGAAATACCTGTGGACTGATGGGCCTTGAAAACTAGGATTCAGGAGACTGGAGATCTGGAGAGAAAATCTGCCACAGCTAAAAAACAAAAGCGTCATTTAATCAAATCAGAACTTAGAATGCAATATAAATCTCTATTTAAAAAATTCTAGCCTAATCAAGTCATTCCTATACAAATTTTTAAAAAATATTGTTTATATTTTCAGCTCTTACACTGGTTAATACACCGCCACTAAGTAATTAATTTCATGATGAAACAATACATGATTTACATAAGTGTCACAGCAAAGAAACAGGGAGGAATTAATTTAGCAGATCTTCATTGAAAACCTACTGCATGTCAAGCACTATGCTAGGTTCTGGAATAGATAAAGTGAGGAGATGATAAAATAACCCTCGTGGAGCTGTTCAGGGACTTGAAGAAATTTTCTAACTGATTAACTTACTATAAGGTTGTGATGATATCTAGAACCAATATACTTTCTATTCTGCATTCTATTTACATTCCATATTCTATTTCTATTATCCATTCTATTCTCTCTATTTCTATATTCTATTCTGACACACACACACATACACACACACACACACATATATATATTCAGTATCTATTCATTTGAATTGCTGTTGTCACTAGTTTTTATTGTTGTCAAGTTCTGTGTAATTTTTCATACTTAACCCAAGTTGTGCCTTCATCATGGAGCCCGGCCCAGCATCACAGATCCCATTGAGTTGGTCCCTTCTCTCACTTTCTTTTGCACTTATAATCTACACCTCTCCTCATCCCTTAATTCTTGAATATCAGCCTCTTTGGCTATTTGTTATTCTTTTTTTGTTTTCAAAGTGATACTATGCTTACTAAAAATTATAAAGATTTAAAAATATGAAAGGGCCCATATATTCAATAATTAAACTTTCCAAAAAATGATGACAGATAAATTTTACAGATATATGGCCATTAAAATGGTGATTAAAATAATGTTTGAACCATGGAGAAATCTTAAGATAAAAAATGTTCACTTTTATGCTTTATGTGTATGTTGTATGATACCAAATTTTCCTGTAAATCAATCCTAAAAAGATAATGAGATAGGTGCTATCATTACTTATAAAAATTTTAAATTAAATAATTTATAATAATAAAATGTTAATGATTCCATTATAATAATCAGAAGGAAGAAAATTCAAATCTTAAATTTCAGAAAGAAGGAAAAGTTACAGAATTGAATGTAAGCAAGTTGTATTCAAAAAGTATTGACAGTCATGTTATGAAAATATATTTATTGTTTTGAAAAACAGCCACTATATAAAATGAATTATAAACATTAAACTGATTTTATATATATAATATGCAATATTTTTAAAATAAATGTTTATATAAATGTAACTCTACATTTGTATTACATGTCTTTAATAAATGAGGGCTTTAGAATACATATAAAATAATTTTAGAGTAAGTAAAATATTAATCTTATTTTTGAAATGCATATCTGATTTTCCTAAGCTGTATGTACACCCTCATTTTTACATAAAAATGTCTGGAATGATGCATCCAAATAAAAATAAAATTTATGTTTGATAGATTTATTGGTTAAAATTTATTTTTTCCCTTTTTCATTTTTTTTAAATTTTATTTTTGGTGGGTACATAATAAGTGTACATATTTATGGGGTAGAGAGTGATATTTTGATACACATATATGCAATATGCAGTGGTCACATTATAATTAGCATATCTGTCACCTCAAACATTTATCATTCCTTCATTTTGGACACATTCAAAATCCTCTCTTCTGGCTATTTGAAAATATATAGTAAATTAATGTTAACTATAGTCACTGTATTGTGCTACAGAACACTAGAACTTATTTCTCCTATCTGGCTATAATTTTGTATTAGCTAACCCACCTCTTCCTATCCTTCCCCTGTCCTTCCCAGCCTCCAGTAACCACAATTCTACTCTCTATTTCTATGAGCTCAAATTTTTTAGCTCCAACATGTGAGTGAGAACATGTATTTATCTTTCTGTGCCTGACATTTCACCTAACATAATGTCTTAAAGGCTCATCCATGTTGCTGTGAATGATGAGATTTCGTTATTATGGCTGAAGAGTATTCCATTTTTTGTGTGTAGAGCTCACATTTTCTTTATCCATTCATCTATTGTTGGACACATAAATCAATTCCATATCTTGGCTATTGTGAATATTGCTGCAATAAACATGGAGATGTAGATATCTCTTCAATATACTGATTTCCTTTCCTTTGAATAAATACCTAGCAATGGGTTTACTGGATAATATGGTAGTTCTACTTTTAGTTTGTTTGAGAAGCCTCCATGGTTGTTTTGTTTTGTTTTTTTTTTTTTTTTGTTATGTTTGAGATGGAGTCTCACTCTGTTGCGCAGGCTGGAGTGCAGTGGCTTTATCTTGGCTCACTGTAACTTCTGCTTCCCGGGTTCAGGTGATTCTCCTGCCTCAGCCTCCCAAGTAGCTGGGATTACAGGTGCCTGGCCACCATGCCCAGCTAATTTTTGTGTTTTTAGTAGAGACAGCGTTTCACCATGTTGGTCAGGCTGGTCTCAAACTCCTGACCTCAGGTGATCCACCTGCCTTGGCCTTCCAAAGTGCTGGGATTACAGGTGTGAGCCACATTGCCTGGCCCATGTTGTTTTCCCTAATGGCTGTACAAATTTATATTTTCACAACAATGTATAAGAATTCGACTTTCCTCCACATCCTCACCAGAATTTGCTATTTTTTTGTCTTTTAGTAAGAGATAATCTAAGTGGGGTGAGATGATAACTCACTGTGGTTTTGATTTGCATTTCATTGACAATTAGTGATGTTGAGCGTTTTTTCATATGCCCATTGACCATTTGCATGAATTCTTAACAGTAATGTCTATTCAAACCCTTTGTCAATTTTTTAACTGGACCATTATTATTATTATTAATCATTTTTACTATTGAGTTGTTTGAGTTCCTTGTGTATTCTGGATATTAATCCCTTGTCAGATGAATAGTTTGCAAATATTTTCTCCCATTCTGTCAGTTGTCTCTACACTCTTTTGATTGCTTCTTTTTGCTGTGCAGGAGGTTTTTGGTTTGATATTATTCCATTTGCCTATTTTTGCTTTTCTCACCTGTGTTTTTGGAGTCTTATCCATAAAATTTTTGTCTAGACCAATGTACTCAGGCATTTCTCCTATTTTTTAAATTAGTTTTATAGTTTAGGTTCTCATATTTAAGTGTTTAATTTATTTGAGTTGAGTTTTTTATATGGTGAGAGATAAGACACTAGTTTTATTCCTCTGTATATAGATATCCAGGTTACTCAGCATCATTTACTGAAGAGGTTGTTCTTTCCTTAATGTATGTTCTTGGTGCCTTGTCAAAAATCAGTTGACTGTAAATAAATATATTCATTTCTGGGTTCTTTATTCTATTTCATTGGCCTATGTGTCTGCTTGTATATCAGTACCATGCTGTTTTAGTTACAATAGCTTTGTAGTATGGTTTAAAATCAGATAGTGTGTTGTCTCCCACTTTGTTCTTTTTGCTCAGGATTTCTTAGGCTATTTGGAGTCTTTTAAGGTTTTGTATAAATTTTCTCTATTTCTGTGAAGAATGTCATTAATATTTTGATGGGAATTGTGTTGAATCTATAGATCACTTTGGGTAGTATTAATATTTAAACAATTTGAATTCTTCCAATCCATAAAAATGGTTTGTCTTTTTATTTTTAAGTGTACTCATCCATTTCTTTCATCAGTATTTTGTAATTTTCATCACAGACACCTTTCACCACTTTGGTTTAATTTATTCCTAGGTATTTTATTTTATTTTATAGCTATCATAAATGAGATTGCTTTCCTGATTTCTTTTTCAGCTAGTTTATTATTTTTGTATAAATTTTTCTGATTTGTGTGTTGATTTTGTATCTTAAAATTTTAATAAATTTGTTTATGAGGTCTAAGAGGTTTTTGGTAGAATCTTTAAGATTTTTTTTTTTACATACAATATTATGTAATCTGAAAAAAGGGACAATTTAACTTTCTCCTTTTAAATTGGATGCCCTTAATTTCCTTCTCTTGCCTAATTGCTCCTGGCTAAGATACCCAGTACTATGCTGAACAAAAGTGTTGAATTGGGCATTCTTGTCATGGGCTGGTTCTTAGAGAAAACACTTTCATTTTTTTTTTCCAGCATGATATTAGCTATAGGTTTGCTTCTATTATGCTAAGGTAGGTATATTCCTTCTCTACATAATTTATTGAGGGTTTTCAATTATGAAGGGGTTGAATTTTATCAAAAGTTTTTTATGCTTCTATTGAGATCATATGGTTTTTGTCCTTTATTTGGTTGATGTTATGTATCATTTATTGATTTGCATATGTTGAACCATCCTTGCATCCCTAGGATAAATCCTATTTGATCATGGTGTATAATCTTTTTGATGTGCTGTTGGATTTGGTTTGCTTGTAGTTTGTTGAGGATTGTTGCATACATGGTCATCAGAGATATTGGCCTGTAGTGTTTTTGTTTTTGTATCCATATCTGGTTTTGGTATCAGGGTAAATAAAACTGGCTTCATAGAATGTGTTAGAGGGGAAAATTCCCTCTTCTTCAGTTTTTTTCTGAATACTTCGAGAATGATTAATGTTAGTTTTTCTTTAAAAGTTTGATATAATTCATCAGTGAAGCCATCTGGTATTGTGCTTTTTTTTTTTTCTTGGAGATTTTATTACTGATTTAATCTTGTTACTCATTACTGGTCAGTTCAGGTTTTCTGTTTCTTCTTAGTTCAATCTTGATAGTTTACATGTGTCTAGAAATTTATACATTTATTCTAGGTTTTCTAATTTGTTGGACACAGCTGTTGATAATAGTATCTAGTGAGTCTTTGTATTTCTGTGCTATCTGTTGTAATTTCTTTTTTGGTTTGTTTCTGGTTTTATTCATTTGACACTTCTCTCATTTTGTCTTAGTTATCTAAGCTAATGGTTTGTCAATTTTCTTTATCTTTTTAAAACATCATTTTTTTCAGCCTCAATTTCATTGATTTTTGCTCTTATATTTGTTATTTCTTTCCTTCCACTAATTTGAGGTTTTGTTTGTTCTTGCTTTTCTAGATCATTGAGGTACATCATTAAATTGTTTGTTTGAAAGCTTTCTACTTTTTTGATGTAGTGTTTATTTCTATAAACTTATTTCTTAGTACTGCTTTTGCTATATCCCATGGGTTTTTGTAGGTTGTATTTTATTTTCATTTGCTTCAAGAAATTTGTTGATTTTCTTCTTAATTTCTTTATTGACCCATTGGTCATTCAGGAGCAAGTTGTTTAATTTTTATTTATTTGTGCAATTTCCAAAGTTTCTTTTGGTCATTGATTCCTAGTTTTATCCTATTATTGTCTGATATAATTTCAATGTTTAAAAATTGGTTGAGACTTGTTTTGTGGCCTAACATGTGTTCTACTCTGAAAAAGATTCCATCTGCTGATAAGAAGAATATATATTCTGGAGTTTTTGAAATGTTCTGTAAATGTCTGTTAGCTCCTTTCAGTCTATAGTACAGTTTAAATCTGATGTTTCTTTGTTGGTTTTTTGCTTAGACGACCTGTTCAATGCTGAGAGTAGGGTGTTGAAGTCTCCAACTGTTATTATGTTGGGCTCCCTCTCTCTCTCTTTAGCTCTAATATTAATAATACTTGCTTTATATAACTGGATGCGCCTGTAGTGGGTGCCCATATATTTAAAATTTTTGTATCTTTCTGCTGAATTGATTATCATTATATATTGACTTTATTTATTTTTAATCTTCTTTTAAATGAAAGCCTACTTTATCTTATATAATTGTAGCTACTCCTGTTTGCTTTTGGTTTCTGCTCAAATGGAGTATCTTTTTGCATCCTTTCCCTTTCAGTCTATGTTTCTCTTTACAGATGAAGTGAGTTTCTTGTAGGCAGCATATAACATATAGTTGGATGTTATTTTTATCCTGTTAGCCAGTCTATGTCTTTTAACTGGGGAATTTAAACCATTTATATTCAAAATTAGTATTGGCAGGTAAGGTCTCACTCCTCTCATTTTGTTGTTTTCTGGTAGTCTTGTATACTTTTTTTCCTTTCTTCCTCTCTTGTTGTCTAACTTTATGGTTTGGTGGTTTTCTGTAGTGATAACATTTGATTTCTTTCTTTTTCATTTATGTATCTGCTTTACTAGTGAGTTTTATACTTTCATGTGTTTTCATGGTGATAAATATTGTCCTTTCACTTCCAGATGTAGTATTCTCTTAAGCATTTCTTGTAGGGATGGTCTAGTGGTTTTGAATTCCCTCAGTTTTTGCTCACTTGGGAAGACTTCCCCTTTATTTCTGAAGGATAGTTTATTGAGTATAGTATTCTTGGCTGACAGTTTCTTTTTCTCTCAACACTCATTTTCTCTGGCCTATACAGTTTCTGCTGAGTAAGCTGTTGTTATAACAATTGAGATTTTCATATGTGTGACTTGACATTTTTTTCTTCTTCTTTTAAAAATTCACCCTTGTTCTTTGACTTCTGACTATTATGCACCTCTGAGAAGACATTTTGGATTGAATCTCTCTGGGGAATCTTTGGGCTTCCTGTATCTGGATGTCCACATCTCTCCCAAGACTTGGGAAGCTGTTAGCTATTATTTCATTAAATAATAATTTTTTTTAAATTTTCTTTTTGTTATTTTTATTTTTATTTTTTTTTGAGATAGGGTCTTGCTCTGTCACTCAGGCTGGAGTGCAGTTGTGCCATCATAGCTCAGTGCAACCTCAAACTCCTGGGCTCAAGGAATTCTCTCACCTCAGCCTCCTGAATAGCTGGGACTACTGGCATGCATCACCACACTTAGCTTTTTGGAGAGTCAGCACCTTGCTATGTTTCCCAAGCTGGTCTTGAACTCCTTAAGTGATATTTCCCTCTCGGCCTCCCAGTGCACTGGAATTACAGGTGTGAGGCACTGAAACTGGTCTAAATAGGTTTTCTGTGTCTTTTCTCATCTAAATTCCCATGTGAAAATTTGTTTATTTAATGGTTTACCACACGTTCCATAGGCTTTCTTCATTATATTTTCTATCTTATCCTACCCCTCCTCCTCCTCCTCTTCCTCTTTCTCCTCTTCCTCCTCCTCCTCCTTCTCCTTCTTCTTCTTTTTCCTTCTTCTTCTTCCTCCTCCTCCTTCTCCTCCTCCTCCCTCCTCGTCCTCCTCCCTCCTCCTCCTCCCTCTTCCTCCTCCCTCCTCCTCATCCTCCTCCCTCTTCTTCTTCTTCTTCCTCCTCCTCTTGTTCTTTCTCTTCTTTTTCTCTTTATCTGACTGGATTGTTTCAAAAGACCTGTCTTCAGGTTCAGAAGATCTTTCTTCTGCTTGACCTAGTCTCCTTTCTGAATTTTCAATCACATTTCATAAATACACATGCCAATCTTAGTAATTAATCATGCAATTTTGGAAAATTGTCAACATTTTTCAGTTTCATAGGTTGTGATTTACAAATTATTTTCAATAAGTAAGTTGATTCTACTAAGTCACATTAATAAGACTTAAACTTCAAGTTGACATTTTCCTGGAAGTACAATAGCAACAGATGTATATCTGTTTATCTAGATTCTTTCTTTTCAACTTCTTAAATGGAAATATTGCTAAAATTTACATAGCTTCTGAAGGTTTAATCTGATGTCATGAAGAAGAATAAAGCTAAGTGCTCCATGACAGATACACAGGTAGGACTGGTGGTGCTGTCTTCCTTACTGACTGACCGTAACCAATGGGATCAAAGAAGCTATAGTTCTTCATATGGAGTCTTGAGCAAGAAAGAGTTAATGCAGAATTATCAGAGGTCTACTTTGCTCTTAAAGAGTTTGACTTCATAAATGATGCAACCAATTCCAGGACAAATAACTTTGATCAACAATATATTTTTGTTAAAGTTTGCTCATTTTGCTAGTTGTTTTCCATGTACCCATTCAGTTCTTCTAGATTTCCTATACCCTGCTCTTTGCCCTGAGGATGTGGCATTTATGGGCTTGTATCCATGGCTCCCGTGCCCCTTGACTCTGCTTTTTTTTTTGTCCAGTAGGAAAAAATGTCAGGCAATTGGTAGGAAGGAAGACAGTGACTTCAGGTCATGAGCCCTCTTCTTCCCTTCTGTAGGGCTAAATTTGATCATTGTTTTCCTCTGTGGAAGTCATAGTTCCTTTTGCTGGATTCAGGAAAGTATGCACTCACCTTGCCCCTGATGCCCAGGTGTGGGATTGTCTTCTTGCTGTGGCCAGCCCCAGAGTGTCCACTCTCCTTTGTTTCCTTACCTTAATCCTCTCACACCTTTGTAAATAGTTCTTTATTCAATTTTCCCCAGTTTTCTTTGTCTGTGTGATCCATCTAATTCTGGCACCCTGACTGATGGCCCATGTTGATCACACTTTTTGGCTCATGGCAAGATAGTTGAAAACTATCAACCACCCACCTTTTTGCTCCTTACAGTTAATTTGTTTCAAGTCATCTGAGCTTCATTATCAGAAGAGCTACATTAAATAATATACTTCTCACAAGTCACTCCCTCAATTTCATTTAATTAAGAAAAAAGAACAGATATGAGAGTAATTTTGTTAAACTGATGGTTCTACAAGGCTTCAATTCTCTCCTTCCAATCTCCTGAATCATCCCATCTTAATTTTGACTTAATTGTTCATGTAATTCTGTAGGATTTAGGATTTCATTTATGTGCACAGCATTTAGACTGCCCCTCTTTAAAAATTTAAATCCTTAACTTTTAATATTTATAAGCTATACTTTCTGCTGTGCAGCGTGTAGTATTTCCTTAACATTTATTCTTTTTTTCTTTCCCCTGAGCACCACATTTGCTATCTCTTTGCTTTTCCTCATCATAGCTTCTCTCGTTTGTATACCTTTTCCAACCTCTCCTTCTTTGCTTCCGTCAGAGATATTCTAACTCAAATTTAGCTTATCTCTTTTGTTCAGTTGAGACTCTTTGAAGAAGTTACATAAAAAAATCTCTACAGACTACCCTGCTATACCATGGATTTTACTGTATGTACTGTGGGCTGAGGGAAGGTTAGTAAGCCACATGTTCTTCAAAACTAAAATCACTTATTCTGACTTTGCTTCTACCAGAGGTTGCTTAAGGTGAATATCTACCATTTATTTCCATATACCTAAATACTATAATTTTAGATTCCTCTCCATTTTCACCAGTTTATTCAATACACAGTTATATGTGTTTATGATGTGTGTGAGTACATGACCTGCATTACCTTTGACAACAAGGCAAGCTTCCAGACAGGAGAGCTCTAAATGCGTATCAGCCTTCTCTGCAGCCCAGATTTGAGGCACAAGAACTTAGATAAAATGTTTTCATGATTATATAAATTGTTAGGACCTGATATAAAATTTCACTTAAAGGCTCCCATGGAGTACTCTACATGTCGAACTCAACTCACACAATGTTATCTTGGTATCTGCGGCTGCCGTTATAACTGCATATGATGTATTAGCCCCTCAAGCGATAGAGATAAATCACTTTTGGGGACTCCATTCATTCTTACTTTTAACAGACACTTTGGGTTTTATGAATATACTTTGTATTTCAGAAACAGCAAAGGAAATAGAGGATGAAATATTTTATCAAATGTAAATCTGTTTTTCCTAAGGAATCAGCACAAATTGAAGTCTATAAAAATACAAAACTAATATCAAGTTAATACTATTCAAACAGAACTGTTATATTAAAAGTATTTTTATTAGCTGACCATGAAAAGGATAGCAAGGGTAGACTGTTGTTGTGTATTATTTTTAGTGAGACTCCAAGATTTCTGAAGCTTGAATTGCTCTTTTAGTAAATTAAAATGTCATTTGTCATTATCATCAATATCAAATAGCATTTCTCAAGTGCTACACATGCCTGGATCTCTTCTGGGAATCTTATCAAGCAAGGTCAGGGGAAATGACACCTTCCTTCAGGAGCACACAGAAGATGCTAATGATGTGGACAAATATCCAGAAATACAGTGTATAGTATCTTGCATTTAGTCAGTTTGCCTAAATATAGTGAAGTGAGCCTAGACAGGAATATATCAGGATTTAGCGCTAGACAGGGCAGTAAAATATTTGTTTAGAAACATAAGAAATTTTATATGACATTATATTGGCATACATTGATATAACATTATGGAAGACAATTTGGTACCATTTATTAAAATTAAAAATGTACAGACTTTTTGATTCAGTAATTTCACTTTTAGAAATTTTTATGCTATAGATATACCCACAGAGGCACAATTATTCAATGAAACACTGTTTGTAAAAACAGAAAAGTTCAGAAGAACTTACTGTTCATCACTAGGGTCCTGTTGAATAAGTTATGCTGTGTGTGTATAATAAAATATTATACAGCTTTTTAAAAAAATGAAAATATTATTTATATACAAATACATAGGGTTGTTCAAGTAAAAATAAGCAATATATGGGGTGATGTACAGAATATGCTACTCCCCCAAACCCCCAAAAGAATAAAAGAGAGTGTGTGTGCGCATATGTATTTTTAAAGTTTAAAATAATGATTTATAAAAACAATAAAAAGAGATTGTATATAGCTCAAACCATGGATCTCTTTTACTTAGTGTTTCTTTTGTTCGGTTTCAAAATATTTTAGTGTAAAATTTTCAAAATATCAATTACCAAATATTATTACAGTTTCATCATCTTTTCCTCATACCAATCCTGTGGAAACTTCTTATTTCTCCCACCCTTGAAAACTTTTTCCTGCAATAACTTATGTAGATTACGTCAGTACACGTCCTCCCCGACCTTTGGAGTCTATTTCTGTGGTCAGTCCATATAATCTTCATGATTAACAAGTTCCTTAAATTTACTCCTCGCTTGATGAAATAGCTTGCCCTTTGTTTGCTCTGTGGTACTTTTTCAATTAATAATCAACCAATAAATATGTATCAAACATCTGCTGTATATGTGTATACACAGCGCACACACACACACACACACACACAATAAACTTCAAAGGGAGCCTTTCAAGTCTATCTAGAGTTTCATGTAATAATCAGTGATGAATCACCCATATCCTTTAAGTGTGCATAACCTTTACTAACCCAGGTGGTGTGCTTTCCATTTCTGCACATAATAATACTGTTTTATTCACTCTGTTTTTATATGGTAGACCTCTATGCCTCTGCGTTCCATACTCAATGAATATTTTCTTGGCTATGAAGAGGCAAACACTTCTGTGTCACTGCAAGTATAAGAATTGTTTAATGTTTGATTCTGTTTTCTGTTTTCATTTCCAATAACTTTATTAATTATGTCCTAAATTTTAGAAGTAATTTTGGGGGATGAAGATGGGCTGGACTGGTGTACAGTTTGGATAAGAAACTAGAATCACTTCTGGATGATCAAAAGGAAAGATGCTAAGAGCTAATCACTGGAAGAAGGCCTTAGCTGATTCCCCTGCCACCACAGTTTTAACTTGTCCATCCTTGCTTATGCTGAAGTTCATTGGCCATTTTTCTACTCATTCGTGAGGTTTCACTGGTAACAGTTTGACATCTCACTACTTGGAGCAGCTTATTAGCCGCAGCAACTTGGAGATTTCACTATATACTCCTCATTTCAAATAGTTTCAAATTAAGTTTTTGGTCACAGAGCTCAATTTTCTATAGTGAAAAGAGCTTGTTCATTTCTATTTCTTGATTCTTTTTTCTGAGCTGGTTATTGGTCTATAACCAAGCATTGCTCTGATGCCAGACTACCTCCATTTTGAATGTTTATTTTGCACAGAATTTTTGCAAGACATTTGAAATCTAACTGCATTAGGGCCACCAGCTGTCCCTTGTTTAATTGCTTATTTATAAACACCTCCTGCCTTCATCAAAGAGCTCTGGTAAGATTAGAACATAAGATCCCCGAGGGAAAGAATTCATCTCCAGCATTTATTACAGGGCCTGGCAGCGAGCTCACATTCAATAAATATTTGTTGAATGGCTAAATATTTGTTGAATGAATTAGTCAGACATGATTCCTCTTTACAGAAAGCATCCTCCATATCACATTATAAATCACACTAGATTTTCTCTTATTTGGGGTGGAATTATTGAAGAAGGTTCATTTCCAAAAAGTATTTGAAAGAGTGGGCACATTAGAGTCCTAGGTTTGCCATAAAAATTATCATAAACCGGATGGCTTAAAACAGCAAAAATTCATTATTTCACAGTTCTGGAGGCCAAAAGTCCAACATCAAGATGTCAGCAGGGACATGCTTCCTCTGAAGGTTCTGGAAGAGAATCCTTCCTTGCCCCTTCCAGTTTCTGGTGGTTATCAGCAATCCTTGGCCTCTTGGCCTCCTTAGCTTGTGGCTTAATCACTCTAGTCTCTGCCTCTGTCTTTATAGCACCTTCTTCTTTGTGTGTCTTCATCTCTTCTGTTTCTTATAAGGACATATCATTGGATTTATGTCCCACCTGAGTCATCTATGATGATCTCATCTCAAGATCCTTAACTTAATCCAAAGACTCCTTTTTCCAAAAATGATGGTATTTATAGGTTCTAGGGATTTGGGCACAGATGTGCCACATTACACAGGGATTGTTCAGAAATAGCATTCACACTTAAATGAGATACAGTTAGAATATAGAAACTATCAATGAACCAGTTGGTTAGTTTTCTTTTCTTTTTTTTTCTTTTGAGACGGAGTCTCACTCTGTTGCCAGGCTGGACTGCAGTGGGGCGATGGCTCACTGCAACCTCCGCCTCCTGGGTTCAAGTGATTCTCCTGCCCCAGCCTCTCAAGCAGCTGGTACTACAGGTTCGTGCCACCACGCCCAGCTAGTTTTTATATTTTTAGTAGAAACGGAGTTTCGCCATGTTGGCCAGGATGGCCTCAATCTCTTGGCCTCATGATCTGCCGGTCTCAGCCTCCCAAAGTGCTGGGATTACAGGTATAAGCCACCATGCCCGGCCTGGTTAGTTTGCTAATAAAGTATGAGGGGGCCTCCTGCAATGTGCATATTTGGGAATTATTCCATGACTGGCAGAGGCATGGAAACCTCCTTAAAGAATTGGTTTACAGGGTGAATAAGAGTGCTCTTTCTAAGGGTTTTGATTGAAGAATAAATCACAGCATGCAGTTGACCTTCCGTTTCCCTTCCCCACCTCCACCTTAATGAAGATGGTAAGCATGTAATTTGATGAAGAATGTGGTCTGTACGTGGAGATCCTGGAAGCTCAGTGGGTTTTATTTATTGTAGCAAGACAAACAACAAGTAGCTTCAGTGGAAAAGGAAGGTCAGGGAGACAGAAGTGAGGCAGGAGGTGGAGAAATGGCGGGCACTGAATTTAATAGGCTAAGTAATTTTGAGTGATGAGGTAATCAAATCATAGGGAGGGTGGGATCCAATAAAATCACCTACACCTCTCATGCCCTCACCCACACATGTTGGAATAGCAGCTTCAGGCTCTAATGAGTGTCCAGGGTACATGTAATAGAGAATATTAGCTGCAAAACTTTAAGAAGAAGAGAGATGAGTATAGAGAAGATCATTACCTCCTTTGCCTGGTAAAATGGGGAGTGCCTTGGCTTAATTTTACATGCCTGGAGCCAGTCTTTTTTAATGCATTAATTTTTTAAAGAATGAAACCAAACATCAGATGAATGCTGGCTCTCTGCTGGGCATGGGCTACACTAAGTATCTAATTTCTGCAAAGGAGCTGGAATGGGGCATCCTGAGTTTCAATATCTGACTCATCGGTGATGCTGCTCAACTTCTTTTTTTTCATGAGATGTAATACATGGAGAATCTGATAGACTCTGATTAATCATACATGGTGTGCCTTGGCATGATATCACACATTGTGTTTTCCCACCAGGAGGCCAGAAGAGAAGTGTACTATGGAAAACATTTTTTGGAAGCTCCATTGATCCTGAACCACAAACAGAGCTCACACACACTCAGAAATACTACTGGTATCTCTGAGAATTGTCTGAAATGTCTTTAACTCTCCCATGGTCCATTTTGGTTAGCAGGTATTTCCAACTCCACAAGAGGTTTTATATGCTAGAGCAATGCATGAATCTTTGCCTATTTCCAACTCTTCACTGTCCGACTGAGGCTGTATCCATTCAGGCCCCAGGAAGCGCTTCTGTGGGAGGGTGTCTTTAATGATTATGGGCCCCAGCGCACCAATGGACCACAATCAACAGGTAGGCCCAGGTCCTTAGCTCTCAGATGACCATGCAGCCTTTCCTCTGCTAGTGTCCTCTGTGACTCCTGTTTAATAGTTTATCTGATTAACAGTTTTTCAACTGGTTAGTAGCTTCTGAACCACTTAACACTTAGGCAATTGTGAGAGGATGGTCTTTCAACTCTTCAGTGATTGACATGTGGCAATTTCTGACCACTGACCAATAGACTTGGCATTAATCCTATTTCTGGGCTCGGAGACCAAGAAAAAAAACATCCTAAGACCAGTGAATTCCCTTGTAGTGAGAAGCAGTCCTTTCTGCTCAGAGTTCAAACTCATTGGAGAGGCAAGCCTAGGGTAGAAGTTAGCAGTGCAATCTCCCAAACTCCATATGCAGTCAGGCAAATGGATAAAGAGTTTCAGTCTCAGGGGTTGTTAAATTTGACATTTTTCACAACTTCTAAATTTCCTAAAATAATAAACAAATATTTTTCAGCCTATTTATATTTTGCACCCAAACATGAAGCACATCGCTAGCAAAGAATGTGTAAATACTTTTGAAGACCCTCCTCTGCTGTAGCCCAGTAAATGGAAATCTTTGTACCTTGTTTGGGCTGATTTGATTCTCCAGGCTGCGGCAGGCCTTAATGTTTACCTTGGAAAAGCTTTCATGAGGTGGGCCCACCTGAGTGGCATCCAATGCCAGAGCCAAGATCTACCTTGATTTTGAGTTGAAAATTAAGTTGAATCATATGAAATTTTCCATATTTGAACATTTTGTACTTATAATAAAGTGAATTTCGTATGGTTCATCTATTACCTTTCAAAACAACGCTATCCTACTGTGTTTGTAGCTACATAAGGTGCTTGTCTAATTTGTATTCAATGTATACTATTTGCAAATGAATATAATTCTTTAATCATATTTTCTTAGTATAAAAACTGTGGATAATCAAAGAAGTTGAGAGCAACCGTGGTTAAGACTTTAGATTCTGGAGTTAGACAAACCTGGGTCTCAAATGAGCTGTTAGACCCTGGGTGATTCACTTAACTTACTCAGCCTCAGTTTTCGTATCTGTGAAGTGGTTTGGAAACAAGACTTGACTCTGTTGTGAGAAGTTAATGCAAGAGTGGCTAGAAAGCGTTCAGCAGAGGACCTGACTTAGAGGAAAAGCACACTAAATGCTTGCTTTTACTCCCAGTATTTTCTTCCTTCTCTTCATTTTTCCTCATCCTCTCCACCTTTTTCCTGTTACCAATGTAGCAGTATTAATAATAAACACAATGAACAAAAGGAAACATTACCAGACCAGATGCCTATGGGCATATTGATATTTTTATAACTGTAATCTTGGCATGTACAGTTACATGTTGTGCTTTCAAAATAATTTAATATTGCGATTCATATATTAGGTATATGTACCATGCTTCTGAATCAGGTGTCAGCAAATGATGGCCCATGGATCAAATAGAACCCCTTGCCTATTTTTGAAATTAAGGTTTTATTAGAACACAGCTATTATGTACAGAATTATGCCTCCTTAAAATTCGTGTGTGAACACCCTAACCCACAGTAAGACTGTATTTAGACACAGGGCCTTTAAAGAGATTATTCAAGCTGAATGAAGCCACAAGGATAGGACCTGATCCAATAGAATTGATGTCCTCATAAGAAGAGAGCGAGATGCCAGGAGTGTGCACACAGAGGGAGGGCATGTGAAGACATGGCAAGAAGGCAGCCGTCTGCAAGCCAAGAAGAGAGGCCTCAGAAGACACTAGATTGGTCAATACCTTGATGTTGGATTTCCAGCTTGTAGAATTGTGAGAAAATAAATTTCTGTTGTGTAAGCCACTCAGCTTATGTTATCTATTAAGTCAGCCCTACCAGGCTGATACAACAACCTTGCCCATTTGTTTATATATCATCTATGACTCCCTTATGGCCTTCAAAGCCTAAAATATTTTTTCTCTGGCCCTTTATAGAAAAGATCTGCTATCTACTGTCTTACATAGTCTTTGCAACTTATCATTTTAAAGGCAGCATAATATCTGTTGATGAACTTGTAGGTGTATCAAATTTCTGGTTTTGACAGACACTGCAACAATGTGTTTTAGAGCATGTAATTATTTTCTTTTGTTTAATTATTTTTTCATAGAATAAATTCCAAGTTATGGTATGACCTACATGAAAGATATGACTTTTATAACTTTATACATTACTATTTTTCCTTGTAAAAATACTGCCCTGGCCAGGGGCGGTGGCTCACGCCTGTAATCTCAGCACTTTGGGAGGCTGAGGTGGGTGGATCATGAGGTCAGGCGATCGAGACCATGCTGGCTAACACAGTGAAACCCCGTCTCTACTAAAAATACAAAAAATTAGCTGGGCATGGTGGCGGGCGCCTGTAGTCCCAGCTACTCGGGAGGCTGAGGCAGGATAATGGCGTGAACCGGGAGGCGGAGCTTGCAGTGAGCCGAGATTGCGCCACTGCACTCCAACTTGGGTGACAGAGCGAGACTCCGTCTCAAAAAAAAAAAAAAAAAAAAAATACTGCCCCTGTTGTTCCACCAGCAGTCTATGGATGTGAGTTTCACCAGTACCTCTTCCCCAACAATGGACATTGATTTTTGCTCTGATTTGCATATGAATATACTTATTGTCTGAACAAAGCAGCTGCCTAAAGCTCCTTATGCACTTGCAGGTGACACCACAGATGCCCTATAAATTGCTCCCATCATTTGCTATAACTATTGCTTCAAAGGATGACTTTTGAATTCACATTTTGTTCTTCCTGTGGATTCTCTCTTATTCTACCTTTCCTGACCCGGATTTGACAGTCTGTCCTGACTTACTGGGTGTGGCCTAGGAAACTGTATTTTTTCTATATATCCTGTTCTCCATGCCCCAACCTCACAGGCCGGGTCCATCTATGCTCACACCAAATCCATGCTCCTGGAATCCCATGCAAGGGTCTTCTCTCTTATTCTGGTAGGAAAGTTGAGTCAATTATGGAGTTAATGACTTTAAGGATACAGATCCTATTCTTAGATTGTACACGTACCACATACGATCATTATCTCCCACTCTGGCATTTTCATTGCTGACAGGCTCCATTAGCGATTTCAGTCCTTTCACTGAATTCTTTTTCTCTAGAAATGCTCTGATTTAGAGATAGGCTGTTCTTAATTTCTTTTTTAAGTTGGTCCTGACACCAGCTGGGGAAATTCATTCATTCACTTTTTCATTAAATATTTATGAAGTGCCTATCATGTCAGGCATACTTCTAGGCACTGGGGATTCACACTAACCAAAACAACATTTGGAAGAAAGAGATCATAACCAACATAAACCAATAAAATATGTGGGATATTTGAGAGTAATAGGACAAAGAGAAGAGTGAGGGAAGGAGATTGAGAGTGCTGAGGTGGAGGGTAGGTAGTGTCATTTGCAATATAACATAGATTGTCAAAGAAGCCCTCACTGAGAAGACCTCAGGAAGTGAAAGAATGAACCGTAAGGAAATTTTGGGATGATGATCTTAGGCCGAGGATACAAAAAGTGCTAAATGTTGAGGAGTTGTGGAGGGGGAGTGGCAGCCTTGAAATGTTTGAGGGAGTATTTGGAGGCCTGTATGGCTGAAGCAGAAGCACTAGTGGGGGAAGCAGAAGAAAGGGAGGCCAGAGAGGGAATAGGGGCCAGATGATGAAGGGGTTTAAGTGATGGGAAGGGCTTTGGTCTCACATCAGAGGAAGATGGGAAATAGAGGTGTTAAGTAAATGAGTGAAATATCTAACTTGAATTTTTAGGAGATCACTGTGGCCACTTGGAGGAAGGATGTGTACTGAAGAACAGCTGGGAGCTGCCACAGTCATCCTGGACAGAGGTGCTGATGGCTTAGATGAGTGGGGGTGGTCAGATTCCAGAAAGAGTCTAAAAGCAGAGCCTAAAGCATCCACCACCAAGATCGTCGTGGAGCTAAAAGCAAGAGGAATCAAGGGTTTTTGATTGTTTGTTTGTTTTCAATATATATGCGGGTAGAAAGATGGTCTTGCCACTGATGGAGGACAAGGAGTTTGGCACAGTAAATTAGAGCTCAGTTTAAGCATGTTAAGTTTAACAGGTCTATTAGTAACTCAGGTGGAAAAGCCGAGTAGCTGATTGGATATATGGATCTGGAGTTTCAGAGAGACATCTGAGCTAAATATATAATGTGGACACAAATGTAGGAAGAACAACAGTCCAACTTTTAGAGGTTGAATAAAGAATAAGGAACCAGCAAAGAAAATTGAGAAGCAGCAAACAGTGAGATAGGGGAAATAAAACAAGGAGAGAGTCATGTCCTGGAAGCCAAGTAAGGATAATATTCTCAGGCAGAGCCTGCTGGCAGGTCCAGTACAATGAGAACTGAAGAATAACTATCATGTTTTTGAAGGTGGAGGTCACTGATGACCTTGATGAGAACAGCTTTGTTGATATAGGCCAAACAGAGTTAAATTTAAGAGAAAATAAGAAGAGAAAGGCTAAAGATATCACTATAGAGGAGTCTTTGGAGAAACTTTGCTTCAAAGAGATAGCAGCTGATTAACAGAATAATCAAACAATGGTCAGCTATTAGCAATAACCAGGCAATATGTTGCAGACACAAAGCTATGTGTATGCCAAATTCTATGTCCTTTTTCTTCTTGGCACACAGCTAGGTCACCTTTTCAGCATCGCTATGACTAGATTCAGTGCATGGAGTGGACCTGGGCCATCACTGCCCAGCCTGAACTTCAAAAATACTTTCCACCCCACCCTCCAGCTCTCTGTCTGTCTTGACTTCTGACTGGTTGCAATGGGTCTGGTGCAGGACTCAGAGGCCCTGAAAATTGTGGGACCATTTGTTTGAAGGCACTTGACTTCATGAGTATCTGCATAGAGCAGAGCTCTGCTACCAACCCACTTTGAGCTTTATGACACTAATTATATGATATTGGGGGGTGGGGATGTTGTTTATAGCTATTAGCTTACCATGACTCACCAACTTTCAATTTAACCATCTCAGTGAAAGAATCCTATGAGAGTCTACCAAAGATTGAGATGTCTTTACTCTTTTCAGCATTTTGGTATGACTTCAATATTGAAGTGTAATGTCTAAAATTTACCTACTTTGACTAATGAGTTACAGCATGAGATGCAAAAATATATAAATGGATGGTTTTTGAGGAGTTCTTAGATTTTAAAAGCTCTTTGTCTGTGTGGTTGATTGGGTGAATTTCCTGATGGAAAACACCTGTTGGCTTCCTCATTGTCTACCGACTAGGTTTACACATTTTGGAATGAAATTCAAGGCTTTCTACAGTCTATGCACAGAAAATTAGTTGGATATTTTGTTTTAAAATGTGGTTGTCTTCTCCCACACTCAGTACCCCCAAAACACTATTAAAAATCCTTAGTAAAATCACAAAGTAATAAGCACCTATCTTCTCAAATCAAGGTATAAATTATGGATCCCGCAGTCAAAAGAAATAACTTTTATTCCTCTTATAACTCTCCATAAACCTTTGTTAAGATTTTCATTGATTTAAATTACTATAATAATCCAATACTTCAGGTAGTCTGGTTTTGAAAGGAAGCGTTTTACATAATACACATCAATTACTTGAAAAGACGTTTCTGTGTGCAGATCAGAGACAATCTATAACTTTCAAATGCAGATTTTATAATGTCCATCTCAACCCTGGAAAAGCAATGGTGTAGGATTTCAGCTGGAAGACCACATAATAATAGGTATCATTTTTTTTTTTGTGACTGTCTTTATATCATCTGGCATTGTGCTTGTCACTATAATTCTTTAATTTTAAGATGCTATGAATTGAAATATGTAACTTTTTTTTTCTGGGGGAGAAAAGAAACGTTATTACTTTACATGAAAACCTCAATTGCAGGAAACGTCCAGGCTTTAAAAGCCATTAGAAGTGGGAGGAAAAACTGTTTTTCAGACTTGAGGAAATAGACTACTGTCTCAAATCTACACACCATGGTGTGCAGAAGCACTGAGTTTCAGGCATAATCTGTCCAAGGTCACCACCTTGAGAGGGGCTTAGCTCAATTCGTAGACAGGATTGGTGGACACCTGAGATGGCCCTTTTCACATCACCATCTTGGCCTTTCTCCCCACCTTTACTCTTCAAATCTTAGACCATTACTGACTCATTTGAATTCAACAATACTCCCCAATATAGTTAAGTCTAGTGAGTGAATGTGCTTTAAAGAGTGGGAAAAAAAACACATTTTACTCCATTGATAATTTTCTAAATCTTCTTTACTCAATTCATGCATTTAGTGATTTTTAGCCAAGCATTTAAGGCTTAGTTGAATCTGAAGATAATGTTAACACTTTGTCAAGCATTTGAATTGCTTCCAGCATATTGTAGTATAATCCTCTGTCCACAAACATCCCTTCATTATTGCCTAATTACATGCAAATTTCATAAAATGAATGAGTTTTAAGGACTTGTCAATCTGTCATCCTAGGAACCACTGAAACATTTTGACTGCTAGATAAATAATCAGCAATAATCACACTATGCAAATTTGATATTTTCTGTACAATTATCTGAAACCATAAATAACTGGACACAAAGACATTTGGCATTCTCTCTGTGAGACTTGACCTACGGGGCTTTTTTCCTTTTTTCCTCTTCTAACAAATGTGCTAGTGGGAAATTTGCTGTTTTTTTTTTTTTTTTCTAATTCCAACTGTGCAAATGTACCCAGTGGAAAAATTATGAGTACAAAAATGCAAAGAGAATTTTGTTTATTTTTATCTGAAGTGTGTTTCCCTTTGGCAAACATTTTTTGTTTCCACTTTAATTTTTCCTTTCTGTAATTTTTACCTTCACTCTCTTGGAGTTTTTTTGTTTTTTTTTTTTTTCTTTTTCACTAGTGAAGAGAATATAGGTGGGAGTATTCAGTGTAAGATTATTTGTTTTGTTCAAATTTATTTTCTCTATATTCCGCATTTTATTATTTTTTTCCTATATAAGTCATATGAATGTCTAATACGCATCAGGCACGTGGGACCATCCACTATCCAAAGGCTAAATATCATTCTATAGCCAAGCTTGGAAACTATAAACAGCCTAGTTTAGTAAATTCACTAAACTTAGAACTAAAAATTGTTTTCCTTTTTGGTTGACGCCTGTGTCTCTGTAAGACTGTGAGGATCATGTCCTCTGTACTTTTTCATGAAAGTAGGCTGATGAGTCCTAAGGCATAACAACACAGCTCTTTATTAATGTTTTTATTATGGAAAACCCAGAAATCAAAACAGCATTGGAGCATTCCGGAGACATGTTTACCTTCGTTTTGTGAATATCTTCAACGACTATAGTTCGGACATTCCACGGTATTTTTTTTAGAGTTTAATGTCATGTTAAAGACATTATAATTATTTAATAAAAGCTCTGATTGACTGATTGATTGGCTGTAGAAAGAGACACTTGTTGATTATCATCTGGCAGTAAGTCACCAACAATGAGAAGAAATGAGAGGAGACCTTGCTTCTGTGGTTTGTTAATGGCTGGGCTCGTTAACAGAAGTAAATCCAGCACACCACTTTTTTTTTTTCTTTTAACTGCCGAAGAATCATCTGATATGAATGTAGGGTATTAACTTTTTTCTTAATTTTAAGATATATAGGCAAATAAGGTACTCTGGTTGATTTCATTTAGGAGGATAATGAAAGAGTGCCATTCAGAAACTCGGAGTTTAAAAATGATTAATAAAGTGCTTTGCACCACATCCACTCATTTTCTTCTGTAAGTAAGGCCATCAATCAACAGAAAGCCAGCCTGACTCATTGATACTACTATTATTTCTGAGCCTCTGTTAAACGTGAAAGCATATATTGTGTTTTGCTGCTCCTAAAACGCAGAAGGTTAACTAAGTTGTTTTTAATGCTAAAAGCAAACAACCAAGAAAGCCGAGGTAGCGGTCCTTTGGTATACCCCAAATCAAACACGCTCTGGCAATTTGGGCAGAAAACACAAAATTCTTTTGAAATGTAGCTGAAAATCTCAAAACTAACTCATGGAACCCCTCTTCCTTGAGGGTTCTTACTGGAAGTATTGTTTTTCATTCTATTCTTCAGTATTCCAATAGCAGCATCCAATGCAGGCATGTTGCAATGTGCATTTGCAAATTGCTTCAAGATCTGAAAAGGCAACATTCTTAGCTTATAAAGGAAGATGAAATATGTTTCATGAAAGCCATCTCTACAAAAAATAAATAAATAAAACTATCCATATGGGTAAGGTGGAGAAATGAATGTTCAGAGGTTACAGGCACTGATGTTATTTAATACTGATGTTATTTAATACTGATGCTATTTAATGATTAATAAATGGCACTGAGGACAGCTACAGATGCATCTATTTATTATATTGTATGTTGTTGGTGAAGTATAATTGCAGTTTGCACCTTGTAATGTCTTACCGTTTAGTTATATGTTTAAAAAAATTAAGACGTTAGTATAATAGTTTTATTGTTTCTTTACACAATGCATATTCTTTTTGCACAAACTACAGTGTCTATTCCATACATACAACCAAGTGATTATGCTAAATAGTATTAAAATGTTATGTTTTGGTTTAACACCGGATTTAGAACATGTACTATTTGAAGCCTATCTAAGCTATCCATAAAGAAGTACAAATTGTCCATAGATGTCTTATCACACAAACTCTTCCTGCAGGTTTGCTATTACTGAGGTTACTAGGGACTGATGATCTATAACTTGAATGTGAGGTTCTCTGGCTGAAGATATATAGTAATAATGTGGGTGTGTCTCGTGTGTGTGTTTGTGTGTGTGTAACTATCTTCTTGGATTCTAAATATGAATTAAAACCTAAAACATTTGGAATCGCACAATTTTAACTGCTAAATTATCTGTGCAAATTGGCACATACCTAGATGTTATATATATATAAAAATTCAGAGCCTTGCTTTGGTATTTTGGATCCACAGGCCAGGCTGTTGATGTGAAAGGCTATAATTGCAGGCAGAATTGAGAAAAGGTTGTGGGGATGCAGATAGAGTAGGAAACAGTCTGCAATTGACTTGAAAAAGTCAATTAAGAGAAACAGTCTGCAACTGACTTGGAAAAGTAATGGATTACTTTTGCTTATGCTTTTTAAAGCTAATAAAAATGCTATTTTTATTCCTTGAGAGATAATAGAATAGTATCCACATGATTTTTAAAATAAGGCCCTTCTATTTTATTTTTTCTGATCCTGTTCTTGAGTATATGTTACTGATTAACCAAAGTGACTACTGCCATTTTAGTCACTGCAAAATAACCATTTATTCAGAACATTCTCTCTGAATTTCTGAAGCTTTTGCTTAGTTTAATTGATAGCCTGATTTTAAAAGTAGCTTTAGGAAATGACAGCGGGCCTGAGTTTTCTCTTTGCTTTCTTCTTCAGGCCAGCGTTAGGACTTCATTAAGCTACTCCTTGAAAGAACTCTCTGTGAGCCAGGATGCTTGACTAAGAATCAAATGAGAATGTTGGCATATTGGTTTATATGTTTGGGAGCTGTCATTAGGACCATCATTACTATTGATGTGATTTTGAGTTAAAAAAATACCTTTTCATGGCATAAATAAAGTGAAAAAAGAGAAATCTTTTTCCTTTTGAGCATTTATATCACAGCATTATCTTGAGTATATTAGAGCTTTTTTTGATGAATTATATTTAACTTATTTGTGGTCAATTAAAAGTTATGAATATGAGCTAAAGAAAGAAAAAGAAAGGTACCATTTATTCCAAAATGTGCCAAAAAGCATAGTTCCTTTTTTTTACAAAGCATTAGAACAAGTTCTCTTTTCCTGAATAACTGAACATACAACCAGAAAAGTGCAAAATTGTGTAAGGGTGGTGGTAAAACAAACACCCATGTAAGCCACCACCACATTGAGTGTTTCCAGCCTCTCAGAAGCTCCCATCCTTCCCTTCCCGTTCTCCTTTCCAAAGGTATAAGATGTCCTTGATTTTATAATGATCTCCTTGTTTTTCTTAATAGTGTTGCGTTTCATTTACATATTGATGCATGAAATGATATGACTCAGTTTGCTGGAACATGATAAAAATATCAATCCATGGTCCACTTGGTTCCATGAAATCCAGTGGTTGTACCCGACCATCTCTTTCAGCATGCTGGACTTGAAGGCAGAAACCTGATACCTTCTACAGATGTTTTATGAGTATCAAATAGTACAATATTAGAAAGCACTTAGTAAACCACTAGTCCTGATAAGATATGTCCAGTACTCAGTGATAAAACTCAAGATGGGCATTGGTCACCGAGTATAAAACCAGAGACAAATGGCCAAGATGATTGACATCTGGAGTGAATAAAAATAAGTGAACATAGATGCTATTTTCTTTTTTTTTTTTTTTTTGAGACGGAGTCTCGCTCTGTCGCCCAGGCTGGAGTGCAGTGGCGGGATCTCGGCTCACTGCAAGCTCCACCTCCCGGGTTCACGCCATTCTCCTGCCTCAGCCTCCCAAGTAGCTGGGACTACAGGCGCCCGCCACTACGCCCGGCTAATTTTTTGTATTTTTAGTAGAGACGGGGTTTCACCGTTTTAGCTGGGATGGTCTCGATCTCCTGACCTCGTGATCCGCCCGCCTCGGCCTCCCAAAGTGCTGGGATTACAGGCGTGAGCCACCGCGCCCGGCCGCTATTTTCTAATATCTGAAAATTTCTCATGGTGGAGAATCCCATTGATGTTGCAGTAGTCCAAATATCCTACGCACTTGACAGAAGGTCAGAGTAAAATTTCAGAATTCTGAGCAATTACATTTATCCAAAAAAGAGAACGAGATGATAAAAGCATGGGTTTTTAAGTGAGGTGGCTCTAGATTAAGATCCTGTTTCTAGCTCTTTCTGGCTGCATAAATTTGGACAGATCCTGGAACATCTCTACACATGTGTACCTCATGTACTATAAGAGCAACCTCTGTATTGTTTGTGGATTAGATAGTATATGCAAATCACTTAGGACAGTGTCTGACATTTATATTACAATTGAATAAGCAAGTTCCCTAGGGGGCAAAGAACTCAAGATGAACTGAGATGACTGCTAGTTAAGGAAGCATCAAAGAGAAGAAGCCAAATTTGTCTTATTCTTTGTTTATCCCCAATCTTAGCACTTAGAAGTTTCACACAAGGTTTTCATAATACATGAATGATAGAAGGGATGTATGCATTGAGTTGAGCTTAAAATTTATCCTTATGTCTTTCTTCCTTTTTAAAAATTAATCTTTAATTCTCAGATCAGCTAGTCCTAATTGGGAAGCTGGAAAACAAATCCAAAAGACAGAACTTGGTCAACTAAATGCACCTTCCTTTGCTAAAATATAGTTGCAAATCTTCACCACTATTCATTTTCTGAATTTCAGATGTAGGAGCACTTGGTGCTCTTAGGTTGTGCTTCAGCAGAGCAGTTCTCAAAGTTCATGATACAATAGACGCATCAGATGTGCTATTAAGAATCCTTATGCCAGGCCACATCCTAGACTGATTAATCAGAATCTCTGAAGGGACCCTGGCATTCCTGTTTTTACAAACTTCCCAGGTGACTTCAATGTGCATCCAATGCTGCTAACCAGGACCTTAGCATTTACTGTATGTCAGGCCCTGTCCCAAGTGCTGGGCAAGAAGCCACCAGTGCTCTGCTTAAAGAGCTGACAATCCCTTCAAATAGTCCATGTGTAGAATGTATTGCAGGTGTTGTCCATTAATACCCACCATAGGTCAGCATTGCAGGCTTCCTTAGCCACCCCAGGAACTGGAAGATTTGAAGTGGATATTCATATAGCAGGAAGGCATTTGACACAAATACAAATTAGAACAAATCTTTTTCAATAAATACAGATTATTTCACTGCATTTTAACCCAAGATACCTACAAAGCATCTAATTGCTGAAAATCTAGCACCCATCGGTCATTTAAGCAGCCATGTGTGGAATTGAGGGGTCCTGGAAAAGTTCGTTTTATCCCAGCATCTTTCCTTGCAAAATTGTGTCATGTTTTAAAATTTCAACGTTGATCATTGTTTATCATTAGGCATTTATGATTGCATCAGCCATTTCTAATTAAATGACTTTCAATCCAAAAAATTATGTGACATTCCATTTGAAGGAACTCTCAAGTGAAACAAGATATGAGAGAAAACTTTATAAACAGTAAAGATTTTTGGAAGTGTAAGTCATTGTTGTTGCTATTCATTAGTTGGTCATATTCACTAAGGCAAGGATTGGACAATGGAATATCAATCAGGCAGACTTCAGGGAGCAATGGTAGCAAGTTTGAAGCCTGGGGCTCTGAAAAGCTGTGGAGAAAAACCCCAAGGAGGAGTTACCAGTACAGGAAGGAAGGTGAAGGAAATTCAGAGGCGACGGTGTGAGCATGCCATTATCTGAACGTTCATATCTTGATTTACACAGGCCTTGTGGATATCTCCGGATAAAAGGGAACTCCCTTTCATGTGATTGAGGACACGCTACTCTTCCTTGGATACATCACAGTTGCTAATTGCCTCTTAGCGCTTAGCCCTCCACTTTCAAATCGGGAAGGTACTCCATGGATTCAGCTGCCTGGGAATCCCTCTTGTCCATGAGTATGACTATGTCATGGGTTCTCAAGTTGGACTGAGAATCTTCTGTGGATTTTATAAGAAACGCAGATCCCTGGGCTTAATCCCAGGCCTACTGAATAAGTACTGCTTATGAATGGAGCCCGGTGATCTGCATTTTAACAAGCTCTCCAGCCATATCTGATGCATGGAAACGTCTGAGACCCATTGGCTTACGAGGCACGTTGCTTTCTAAAGAATAGGTTATTCTTTTTATTTGAAATAAGTGATAAACACATGTGATACTGAAATATTAAAATTGTTCCAAATGAAATGCAGAATCATTAATCATTGGTAATTTATCCCACTACTATCCCTTTCATAGGGACAGCCACTGTTACCAGTTTCTGGTAATGCTTTGCCCAGTTTTAAGATTACAATCACAACTTTCATTTTGTTTTACACTTGCCTGGCATTCTTTTTCTCATCTTTATAGTTTTGAGCATTCTATGTCATTTTTTTGGGTAGTGGGTGGTTTGGGAGCATCTTGTATATACATTATAATTGGGTTTTGCTTTGAAACCCAATGAGTCTTTCTACGTTTCACAGACTAACCCATTTTATCTTTATTTATATGGTAGGTATTTCTTAGTTTTATAAGCATATTTTATTCAATGTTTTCTGGTTTTTATTTTTAATAATTTTCTTTTTGTAGTCCATTTTGTTAGCATAGGGTTTCTTTTTGAGAAAATGAAAGTTTTGCATTTTAATGTTTTATAGCAGTGGTAAGGGGGTAAATGTTTAACAACCTGCTCTTCAGAAAAATGTATATAGCATTTGCCAATATCTCTTGTATAAATACTACCACAGCTGCTTTGTGGTTACGTTTAAATACATATATACGTTTGTATATATATTCATATTTTAACTTTATAATATATATTTTTTCTCTAGACAATATCTTATGAGTAATGGCAAAATTAATTTATTTCCACTTCATCACCCACTTAAAAATACCATCTGTTGATTTCTTATTGTATATAATATGTCACTATTAAAAATATCTATTTTGAGTAAAAGTAAAATAAACATGCTTTTTTTTTGAGACAGGGTCTTGTTCTATTGCCCAAGTTATAGTTCAGTGGCTCAATCATAGCTCACTGCAGCCTCGAACTCATGGGCTCAAGCTTTACTCCCATCTCAGCCTCCCAAAGTGCTGAGATTATAGGCATGAGCTGCCACACCCAGCCAAACATGCTCTTGTGTGAATAGGAGAGATGCTCCTAAGGGCTGCTGAGTGGAATGAGCTCACTGTGCAGCACACGTGCTTGATGAAGATATCACGGACTTTGGAGTCACGCAAACTTGGGTTTGGCCATTTGCAACCTGCCTTATTTTGGGAAAATTAAACCAGCTCTGTAAACCTGAGGTTCCTTATCCATAAAATGGGCATAAAACTAGCCACTCCACAAAGTATGAATGAGATCACGTGTAAAATACTCATCACAGGCCTGGCAAATAGTATGTACTACAAATATGGAGGTGTAGTGAACCGAAGAGGAAGAAGGAAGTCATGCAATGCATTTTCTTTTTCCTAGTTGTTGGGGACTGAATGTGGTCCCCCTCAGATTAATATGTTGAATTTCAACCCCCAGTATCTCAGAATGTGACTGTTTGGGAGACAGGGTCTTTAAAGAGGTAATTAAGGTCAAATGAAGACATTGGGGTGGACACTAACCTATATGACTGATGTCAGAAGGAGAGGAGATTAAGGCACAGTGAGATAGAAGGAAGACCATGTGAAGACACAGGGAGAAGATGGCCTTCTATAAGCCAAGGAGAGAGGCCTCAGAAGAAACCGGCCCTACTGGTACCTTGATTTCCAACTTATAGCCTCCAGGACTGTGACAAAATAAGTTTCTGTTGTTTAAATCACCTGGGTTGCAGTACTTTGTTACAGCAGTCCAAACAAATGAATACAACAATTTTGCCACTCCTGAACTTATGTTATTTTGTTCTGTTTACTAAATATATCTATTAAATGTATAACTAATTATGGTTTAATGTATATCTCATGTGGTTTCTCTCTCTATCAGACCATGTGTGCTCATTATTAGTTTAGAAACTGTGGCCACACATCTAATGTGAAGAGTACCGCATAATCAGGAATTCAGTAAGCATCCTGCTGAGGTGAGTGTAATGATCACAGGCCTCTCACACCTTTGTGAATATGTGTACCACATATCTACCAATTAAGGTAGCAGGTCAGAGGGTCATCCTTGTTCCTGAAGAAAGCCCATGACTGTACTAAAGGGAATAGACAATGGGAGAGAGGCAAACTCAATATATTGTTTCCATTGGGTTTTTATCATGTGAGGCCTACACAGGAATTAATTTTGCTCTTCCAGAATGGAAGGCCCCAGAGGCATCATTATTAATGGAAAGTATATTATTATAGTCAAGTAAGAGGTTATTCTTATGGACAAATATTTATTTTGTGTGTTAGGAATTAGTGCTACCGTCTGATCCCTTCATCTGTTTCTAAGTGTCAAGTCATCCTAACATTCAGTGGCTTAAAACAACACAAATATCAGTTATTCTATTTGACAAATGTAAAATCTGGGCTTGGCTGGTGGCAACAGCTTATCTCTGCTCCTGTTGGATTCAGCTAGGAAGCTCAAAGGCAGCTAGCTGGCACCACTGGAGGCTTGTTCACTCCTGTGGCTGGCAGTGGCTGCAGGCTGTGGCCACTGGGTCTCAGCTGGCCCCTTGGCTATGGATGTGGCTGGAAAAGCTACAAATGGCCTTCTCACGTGTCTGCTGGGCTTCTGCACAATATGGTGGCTGGTTTCCAGGGACACAGGTCCCAAGAGGGAGAGCTGGTAGAAGCCATGCTGCCTTTTCTAACCTAACCTCTGAAGTCATGCCATGTCACTTCTGCTGAGTTCCATTAATTAAAAATGAGTCACTGAGGGCCAGGCACAGTGGCTCATGCCTGTAATCTCAGTATTTTGGGAGGCCGAGGTGGGCAGATCACTTAAAGTCAGGAGTTCAAGACCAGCCTGGCCAACATGATGAAACCCCATCTCCACTAAAAATACAAAAAATTAGCTGGATGTAGTGGCACTCACCTGTAGTCCCAGATACTCAGGAGACTGAGGCATGAGAATCACTTGAACCCAGGAGGCGGAGATTGTAGTGAGCCAAGATGGTGGCCCTGCATTCCAGCCTGGTCGACAGAGGGAGACTCTGCCTCAAAAAAAAAAAAAAAAAAAAAAAAAAAAAAAGAGGCACTGAAGTTGGCCATAATCAAGAGGATGAGTATTGGACTCCATCTTTCAATGGGAGGAGTGTCAAAGAAGTTTTAAAAATGCTTTAAAACCACTGTATTGACCTGTTTTCAGTTGTCTATATGCTTTGAAGTATTTTTGTTGTAGTGCCTATAGGCTTGTGCATTCAGCAAACCTTCTTGATCTTACCGTAAGCAAATGACTCTTACCTATAAAAGGCAAGCCAGGAATTTAGACATATGTCCAGTTTGAGACCAGTAAGTGGGGTATCTGTTTTTCTTAGAGAAGCAACAGCCTTGTATGGACATTACATTTTTACTTTTGTGTCATTAGCTCCGCTTTCTAACCTTGTGGCCTCTGTGCTTCTGTGGCAAGCATTTTGCTTGTGTTCTCTAAGGACAACTGAATTTTTTCTTTTCTTGGGGATTTTGATAGGAAAGTGAATACCTTTAAGAAAGAAAATGATCATCTTGTTAACAGACTTATTTTCTCAGTAATTGTAACAGAAATATTATGATAATGACCTATGTTCTACCAAAGTTTCAAGGGCTATACAGATAATGGTTATACTTTCATTTTGTCTTATAATCTCAGAAGTTTAGATATGTTGTGTGTATTTTTTATGGAATCAATTATTTGACATTTACTGAATATTATAAGATTGTCAAAGGATGTATACATACGTATATAACATACATACTTACAAATATGCATATAAATACATGCATGAACATTACAATTGTGTCAAATTTCTTTGGAAATAAGGCAGTTAAGTTAAAAAGTAAGTGGTTAAAGAAATAAATAAGTAAATAAAGCAAAGCAATATGTTCAGGAGAAGGAAAAATACTTTTCACATATGGAGACTAATAGAGTCTAAGGGAAACAGCTATAGTCAAATTGATAGATTTAGAATGAACATGCGGCTGCTTGACTTTCCTCTAAGAATAATGGTGTTCATAACTTTTTATGCTTTCTGTCTGATTCACTGTACTTTGGAACCCTCTTTCATCTTGGGTGGAGATGAGTCAGTAAATTATAAGGAGAAATTGTGCTGCTTGGATATCAGACAGACCTAGCTTCAAATTCTGCTGTGACCACTTCACAGCTCCCTAACCTTTGGGTAAGTTCAGTTTCTCTCCAGTTTTCTACAGAGCAAGGATAACAAGACATGAATAAACTGTGAGGATCAAATGAAATAACATGTGTGGCATTGAGGCTGCAGGGAACACTCAGTGCATCACTGTCTCCTTTCCAGATTTCCAGCATCACTACCTCAAATAGAAGCATGTCCTTAAAAACTATCTGTAGAGTGAATGGCTGATTGAATAAATTGCATGCAAATTAAATCTTACTAGTTTTTTTTGGGGGGGTGGTTTAAGGAGTGGAGAGTTTAATAGGCAAGAAGGAGCAAGAAGGAAGGGAAAAGGAAGAAGCTCCCCTGTACAGAGACAGAGAGAGGGGGGCTCCAAAGCCGAGAGAAGAGACCCCATCTGCCACAGATACCAACTAGGTATACATACAAAGGTTGGAGGAAGCGGTGTCTAATTTGCATAGGGCTCAGAGGACTGGTTTGACTAGGCATGTCATTCACATCGCCCTTGAAAAAGCTGGTCCCCCCACCCTAGCCTTTTAATATACAAATGCAGGGCACCATGATGTTCTACACACGTGGGGATACATGGAGGCGGACACGTTGCCAGGAACATGTAGGGAAAGGGCAAGAAAATCTCCGGAATCGTCCTGTTTGGGTAGACCCAGTTTCTAATGGCAGGCATTTTGGCATTTGCATATCAAAGGTTGCTGGCCTGGCTCTAAGAGCCGGGTCTTTACAAGAAACTTTTCCGGAGATGCTTTACAAAACAAAAACTTCCCAAGGACCCCTTTTTCCTCTCTATCTACCTAAAATAATTTCTTAATAACTCCTACAACATTCCCCCTGTAGAGATGCCACGCTAACTGCTGTTAGGGGGTTTTAGTGACGACTCCTTCTGGCTACTTCCTGCTGAAAGGGGGCATCAAATGGGGAACAGCAGCTAAGACTCCTCCTAGGGTCGATCTAAGGGTCCTCAGAAGAATGGCGTTTCCATGTGTGGTTCAGCTGACAGCAGCATTTGGAGTTTGACTGCTTCTAGGTGAGAAGGAACAATTCAAGTTATAGTATTGTGTATACAGGGTCCAAATATCAATGAAAGACATATAAGCAAGAGAGGGCTTAATAAAGGGGTTAACCAATTCCATAAAGAAGACTGGAATTTATTAAAGAGGGATTGTGGCTACTCAGGGCTGAATCTGGCATTTTCCCTGAGCTTGTCAATAATTTTGATTTGATTTTTAAGTATCTGTAGATTTTCCTTTACTTTACTAGAGGTATTAATCCAAAAGCAGCGTGCTTCATTTAAAATTGCATCACTAAACCCAATAAAAAGTCCTAGCAGACGCAGTGATAGTAAAACTTTCATGCTTCCTTTTTGTTGTAACTATTAGCTCTGCTATAAGTATAAAAATTAAGCAAAATATGACAGCAATGGAAAGTCTCTGTTTAATATTTCAGTTAGAAGGTGCTACCTTGTACAACCCTATTGCAGATAATAGAGTGAGTATAGTAATTTCCATAAGCGTGGTGCAGTAGATAATTTCCATCTCAAATTTTACTTGTCAAGATATAGAATTCCCATTTGGGGGTCTATGAAGTTCCTTGGTTTTATTTTCCTAAACAAAGAAACCTCTGGGTTATGGGCACCCTACTCACTTTTATTACCTGGCAGAATTTGCAGGATAATTGCCAAGAACTAGTATATTGATCCAGATTTTTACATTACCCATGTCTTATTTTTTCTTCCACGCTGCAGGAGATCGCTACTTGATTCATAGGAATAAGCAGGGTTAGTCTAAAATGTAGGCGAAAAGCTTGAAAACAATAAGACTAGGACTTAATGACAAATGTATGATAAGCTTTGAAGCACAATTTTTCTCTCTAGTCCTCATTTTTGGTGAAAACAAATCTTACTCGTATTTATGGAAAGTGAATCTTCTCTATATTTTACCTGATTGGAAACAGATTTGCATTTCTTTTTCCTCTTATAGTTTTTCAACTTGAACTATGGTTCAGGTTTTCCTGATTATCATTGCTTATGTCCTATTCTAAAGGATAAAGACCTTTATCACCCAACACATGTAGCAGAGCAACTTCTGTTTTCACGTAATTCTTCTAAATTGGATTTATAATTTAATAAGACAATAAGGATCAATAAATCAATACATGTAAAATGGCTACAATCCCAGAACTCCTTTGGTCATTTCACCTTCCTTCAGAAAGAAATGCCTTCCTAGGTTATTAAAATAAATCGCACGTGTGTGTATGTGAGTGTGTGTGTGTATGGTGTGTGTGTGTTCCTATCTGTAGAAAAAGACACGAGGAGACATGACGGTAGTCAGTGTAAAGCATTTCCCTTTCTAAGAAGAAAACCTGCTCTCTGTGCACCATGCTGTGGGGGAATGCCATTCTCCCCACCCTGATTTCAGGCACTGCCTTTGTTGAAATTCAGTTACATTTGACTGTTTAGCGAAGAGGGTCTTGTGGCTGCCAGCAAGATCGGCAGCACTCTGTCCCACATCACCTCCCTGAATTCGTAGTTAAGTCATGTTTTTTTATCTTTCAAAAGGGTGTCACAAATTTCAGAAACTAATTAAAGTCCCTAAGTACATCTTTCAAAAGGGGCTTCGTCAAGAAGTGATTTCAGGGCTGTTTCCTGCAGTGGAACCTGAAAATTCTAGTGCTGGAACTCCAGAGACCCAAGTTACCAATCACAGAGGCACTCTTAATCTTATCGCAGCTGTGATGGCTATTGACATTACATGACACAAATTTGGTCAGTGTGATCTCCTTGGTAGAGCATCTTCACGTCAATTGTATTTTTGACCTTAAAAAAGAATCATCTCTCTTCTAACTTTCCTTTTCCTTCACTCTCACCCAGACTCATGTTAACCACCTCATTTCTTCTCCTCTGGCTCCCTCATTTTTGGCCTAAAGGCATTTACCCCAGGACATTAGGATGCCACTGTGTTTTTGCACGGGTTATTTGTGCATATACATTTCAGATCCACCTTTTCTGTTTGCAGAGACCATTCTGAATAAAGAGATATACAGAGTTGTGCTGACATTAGCTCTTGTGGAGATAAAGAAAACTGGCTGGATAATGATGAAGACCTTTCAAGGACATCCCTAGAATGCAATAGCTTTCTCTCTGGGTCAGTCAGTGGTTTAGATTGCTTAATTACTGCACATTCACACAAGTAGCAGCAAGGCACACATGAAAAGACATTGGGAGGTCTCTTCTATTGTTTAACTTCATAGCGAAAATGTTATACACTGCCGAGGGGTCCTACTCCAGCTTTCTTTAGAACCGCCCTCCATGTCCAGAATGATGAACATTTAAAATTCATTTTGAAACATTTAAAATGTGTTTGGTTGATAGTTAATGAGCTATTATTTTCTGTCAATCTGGCTGACTTTCCAAGATGGGATTTAGATTTCCATTGTAATTAACAGGGTTGAACATTTGGGTCCTTTGGAATATTTCTGTAGTGGTGGGCTTGATACAATTATCAGTCAACTCTGGATTATATACAGACAACATAAGGAGATATTTTATTGGTGAAGATCAAAATGAGAATTATACAATCTCATTTCTTAATTGAGAAGGAAAAAATGTAAAGACAATGGGGAATTGTGAAATGGGTGAAGTATAGGGAAAATAAGTTTTACAAACATTGGGACTATTTATCTTAAGAGGGGTAAGCTGTTTAGAAGCATATTATCAACGTTTGATTTTATTCCCAGAGGAATGAACCTAAGAAATTGCAGTATAGGAAATGTCCAGTTATCCAAAAGCACTGAGTTCTGAAAATGGAAAAGAAACAAATAAAGTCGGTTCAACATCTAGTTTAAATTTCTCTTCCTTAGCATTCTGGGAAGATTTATATAGAAACTTCCTGTTATAGACTCTCCTTTTCTTTGAGGACAGTTATTTAACCACCTCCCTCCCCCCAGCAGCCATCTGTTCTCCAGGACACATTGTCCCAACACATTTCATCTTTTATATTTTCCATATTTGTACTCACATTTTTTTTTCTTTCTTCATAGGCTTAAATAAATTATGTTTCCCTCCCCAATTCTACAGGTTTTCCATGAGAAAAAACTGCAGGTAGAGTAATAACTATAAACTATCAGAGCTTACCAAGAATTGTTATGAAATTTTCTACTGTCAAACTAAATGCAAAAGAAGCAACATATTTAATGAGAAAAGTCATTGTTGACCTTTCTGCCCTGGACTGGTCCTCTAATGTACTCTGTACATCTGCGATGGTAAACATATTCAGACATACCTCTGAAACACATTTACCTATAACATTTGAATACTGTGTAACAATGCTATTACTCACCAGGTCTACTTAATTTAGTTTATTTGGGTTTACATTGCACACGCGGCACCAGAAAGAGGAACAATCTAATTTGTGAGACTGCGGGTATGAAACTGTCATTCTCTGAGAGAGGACTGTGGAAGGTGAGCATGCTGGGGAATGGGAGGCGAAGAGGAGTTGAGCTTGGTGTAGAGAAGCAGTTGTGTTTGTGGGATATTCAGGTGGAACTATGGAGAATCCAGAGGAGAGGATTCTGAAACTCAGGGAGGTATCTGGGGCTGAGATTATGGATTTGGGAGTTATCAGCCTACCGACAGTGAGTAGAACTATGAAGATTGATGAGATCACTTAGGAAGAGAAAGAGGCATTGAGAAGGGTAGGAAAACAGAGTGAGGTGATATGGTTTGGATATTTGTCTACTCCAAATCTCATTTTGAAATTTGAACTCCAATGTTGGAGGTGGGGCCTCATGGAAGATGTTTAAGTTACAGAGAAGGATCTTTTGTGAATGGCTTTGCCGTAATGAGTTAGGCCTCGCTTGACTAGTTCACAAAAGAACAGATTGTTAAAAAGAGCCTAGCACCTCCCTCTCCTCTCTCTTCCTCCTTCTTCCACCATGTGACACACCTGCTCTCCCTTCACCTTCTGCCATAATTGGAATCTTCCTGAGTTTCCTACCAGATGCAGATGCTGGTGCCATGCTTCTTGTACAGCCTGCAGAACTGTGAGCCAAATAAGCCTCTTTTCCTTGATAAATTACCCAGCCTCAGGTATTCCTTTATAGCAATGCAAAACAGACTGAGACATTAGGTGTGACAGAAATCAAGATGGTGGAGAACTTTAAGCAAAGAAGGATTGACAGTGTAAAATGCAGAAGGAATGCTGCATAGGATTAGGGCTCGAATATTGGGCTTGGCAACTAGGAACTTCTTTGGGTCTCTAGTAATACTAGAGTGATAGGGCAAGAAGTTGGCCTATTAATTGAGTCTTATAAATGAGTAAAATTCAGGGAGTTTTCCTATTTTTTCTTTTAAAGCTGGCCTTTGTATTGTCCTTGGAATATCAAAGTTACAATCAAGATGATTATGTTAGTTTAAGGAGATTACTCAGGCCTCCATTCTAAATAGAGATTATATTTTTCAAACTCCTTTCTATGTTTAAACAACATGCAAATAGAGAATGGAAGCGCTACCGATGAAATAAATCGGTGGCTGTGAGAATACAAAAGGAACTTTATGTGGCCTTTTGTCATTCACACTTTAACTTTAGTGTCACCGCCTCAGAGAGGGCATTATTTACTTTCCAATTTAAGGTAGATTCTTAGACATCGCTATCATATTATTTCATTTAAATTTTCTGCATAGCAACTACCATTATCTGGTTTTTCAAAATCTATTCCTCCCTCCCCTTGATGTGAAACAGGTGCTAAGAGAAGAAGCTTGACTCTCTTGTTCCTTGCTGAATCTCCAATATTGAGTTTCTTCCTTGTGATATATGAGCATTGAAATAGGGATATCAATAAACATGCATTAAATAAATAAATGAATGGATAAAGGATCTCCAGTCTGAACTCTCTTAGAGTCTGACCTGAGATTTAAAAATATAATAAAGCAAATTGAGCAATTACCATGTGCCACAGTATTGTGTTAAATACATATCGAATTTCCACAATCAGAATCCATTGAGATAAGCAGGAATTTGATCTTCTTAATAGAAAAAGTATCTAAGCCTTAGAGTAAATATTTATCTTATAATAAAAAGCCATTAAATAGGAGATCTTGAATTTAGCCAGGTTATCTCAGTCCATGGAACATGACCACTATGCAACTGGCCACCCTTTCCATAGAACGTTGGCACCAGGATACTGTCATAGCTGCAGGTAAACTGGGCTGAGGACAGATGTATGAAGGCTCCCACACAAAGTATATCGATTGTTCCGTGTGCACTATAATGATGAATTAACTTATAATCTTTACTTAATATTTGTTTGAAATATGGTGTGATCAGGTAATTAGGCCTAGAAGCAGATCATCAAACTATTCAATACAAATAATAATGAATATACAATAATAGGATACTATATCCACTGCCCTAAACTTCTTTATACATATTAACCAATTAAACCCTCAAAACAACCCTAAGAGCTACATATATGTTTATTCCCATTTTACAACTAGGATAAAGAAATTAAATAATTATCCCGTTATACAAATAGGACGTGGTAAAGCCACAGTTGGAAACCCAGTAGGCAGTTGCCAGAGAGCTACAAAGAACTCAGGCTAACAGAAACAAATCTAAGTTGGAGAATTTGATCTTCTTCTGAAGTTGGTATAGACCAGGTCTTGTATAAAATGTCCTGCTAACTGAAAATATATACATATACTTAATTATTACTTCAGGCTAGATGAAGCATTTCTCATTTGAAAGATCTTATCTCATTTTATAAAAATGAAAAGGAAAAAAATAAAAACGGCTGCTTCTCTCAAAGTGTTATACTTCAAAGTCACCAGAGCGTTATGTAGGTAAGTGGGCTGAATCTCCTACTTTGGCAAGTTTTATGTCTTAGCAAGTTATTTGTGATTGAAGTAGCTGTCTTAGCAAGATGATGTAGGACTGTAACACATAAACCATGACTAAACTGTCCAAAAGAGCTTCCCGAAATGATGGGAATGTTCTGTAAAATGTACTTCCACTGAGCACTTGAAATGTGGCTTGTGCAACTGATGAACTAATTCTTAAATAAATTTAATTTTAACTAATTTAAGTCGCTACATGTGTGTAGAGGCTATTCACTATATCAAGCAGTGCAAACTTAGACTACTTTGGATCATATGAAGTTGTGAGAATTATCTTACACAATTATAAAATATAGAGATTTTAGGAAGATGGACACCAAAAATATTATTCCACAAAAGGATAGTGAAATAGGTAAGTTGGATAATCCTATAAGTAAGTGTTGAAGGGTTTAGTACATGGAATTGCAATAATCTTAAGTGAAACTGAGGCTTGTCAGTTCTATTGATCTGTTCATAGGGAAACAGAAGCTGTTCTGAATGCAATCAATAATCACTGAGAAAACTGGATCTAATCAACCAAATCTACAAATAAGTGACCAGTATGTGTAAGTAAACAGTAGTCATATATCATAAACATGATGACTAAAATCATTTATTCACAGTAGGAAAAAATTGTAGTATCAAGCACAGAGGAACCCCCCTTTTGGCTGAATATTAAGCAGAAGCTGATTTCTGGAGAACATCTGCTCTCCTCAGCAGTGCCTTTTGTGGAAGCAAGGTGAGGGATAAGGAAAAACAGAACATTAAAGAGATGGGTTAGGAATTGAAATCTACCCTTTCAAAGCCAAGGAAAGCACCTTGCTATTATCAGTTATGTTGTTGTCAATGATCAGTCCAGAAATGATGATTTTACTAATGGGGGTAGGAAGTGTCACATACAATTCTTGGGAACTGCTGCAGTCTACCAGGTACGTCTACAGTTTGATGTTACTTAAGGAAGCTTTTTGTGGTATAATGTATGGTAACACCCTTTTTGGAATGTAAATATTATTCTAGCACATTGCATTACACATGCACTATATCTAAGTTTAGTTTATAAAAAATTCATTCAAAAATATTACAAATTAAAAATATTTACTTTTTGTGCTAAAAGAAACACTTATCAAAGCCATTTATTTTAGTAGTCAATCATTCACTTTTCCATTTGTTTCTTTGAATTCAACAATATACCAGGAAGCAAGGAAGGTACTTAAAACTTCTAAATTGCTATTTTGATTATAATTATAAAACAGTTTTCTTTTGATTCTGAACCATGTTTTCTCTATAACATATAAAGATATATGATGAAAAAATGAATTTTCATTATTCAATTTTATTTTCTGCCTTCTTATAGAGGTAGAAATGAAAACAACGAACATATGTTGAACTTTGCAGTGTTACAGGATAAAGATATAAATAATATTTTTTATTCTTGAGTCATACCAGCCATCGAAAGTTTACACTAATTACTTGTAGTATTGTTAATGTTATAAGCTGCCCTTCATCTCTCCTATCCAGACACACCACTCAGTTTCCTCTGCATGCAGATATATTCAACAGCTTCTGTTCACACCTGACATCAATTTCCTTTGATGTTCACAGCCTAAATGAGAATGCTACAGCAAGCTGTATTTGTAAAGTATACAAGATGCCTTTAAAATGATGGCAGGTATTTCCCTCATTAAAGCAGCCATAACAGATAGTTAGATATGATGCTGTCCCTCACCTTCCTACTAATTAATGACTATGATTGCAACCCAAATAAGATCAGGCAATTAAGTGTGATAACATTTCAGAAGCAAAGAAAATATACAACAATCTTGGAATAGCTTCTTACCGATAAATAAAGTTGATCTTTGGAAAATTACCATATAAATGTACTATGCTATCAAAAAACTCACACAAACTAAGGAACATAATAATTTTGCTTTTAATTGAAACATGAGTATGTATCCCATTAAATTAAAATGTTATGAGTTGGCTTCTAGGAAGGTATTGTAAACAATCTCTGTCATATTCTGCAGCAAGATACAGTAGGTAGGCAGGGGCTCGTTTAAGCATGTCTTGAGAAACACTTTGGGGAATGTGTTATACTCATCTTAGCAAAGTATCTAAGTGATTTTTTTCAGTAACAGATTTGTGACCAGGCCTAGATAAAAATGAAAAGCTACCAAGGAGAAGCATGCAAGAGAAGTCACTGACCCCACCAAGGTTCACAAACATGCAAATACCACAGATACTTAAGAAAACCTTCCAGAAAAGCTAGCACTTTCAGAAAACAAAAGCGAACACATCCCTCGGTAACCAACCAACTGCTTTTTAAAATTTCATTAACCATAATGCAATTTAAATTTTAGATATATTTTTATTAAGATATGCAGAAGTTACATGCACCAGTTGATGACAACAGTCCTGTTAGACTGCAGGCTTCCTCTTCTGATCTTGAGAAGGGTTAATGGTGGCACAAATATTGAAAGTTCATTCTCCAGCTCATTACTGGAGCCATGGGAAGATGTCAAGGTGCAAGGAGATCTCTTTTCTCAATGGGTTTTCCTTATTTCTCACTTGAAGCCTGGATAGGGTAGACGCTAATCCTAGCATTGAACGAAAGGCTTTATTTATTGTTTGGTCTACCTGAGCTCCCACATAGATTTCTTAAAGGTTATAATGACCTGCACGTTATAATAGCAACAAGGAATATCAATCAAAATAATTTGCTTGTCTGAAGTGCTTGCTGTGAGAAGACCCTGAAAAAAAAAATCTCATAAAAGCACGCTCTTGTACCAACTCCTTCCAAGCGTATGTCTGTGACTTGAAGCATTTCTGCAATGCAACGAATCATGGTCATTATTGTGATTGGTGCTCTGGAGACGCCAGGTGCTACAGGGTGGGTAAAGCTGTTTCCCAGAACATGAGAAGAAAGAATTCTTCCAGGAATGACCTTACTTACCCAAACATAAATAATTAAATAGGTGTGAATATATATATTTATGCATATTTATGTACATGTACACATACATTATTATATATGTGAGCCTAATAGAGATGTGAATTATTTAAAGAAGAGGGCCTTACGCTAGTTGTATCCTCCTTCTACACAGCACAGAGCAGTGCTTGAAGATTAACAAAATGTACCCAACTCTTGTAGAAGGAGCACATACACACTCTTCTGCACGGGCACACACACCCTGGGTGTCAGTAGGGCCGTGTTCCCTAGGAACAGTATCTCCTTTGTGTGTGTATGTAAAGCTCTCAAACCTTGTGATGCCATTGACATCGCCTCTCCCTCTTCTTGTTTTATCCCAAGGCTGTATTCTCTGTACTTCCCTCTCGTCCTCTCTCCCCATGAGGCAACTTTGAGTATATTGCTCCCAAAGGTGTGCCAAGCTTGCATTTGAACTTGGCTTTATGTGAAAACAGAATATTCTTGTACTCCTTTGGATTTAAGACGTTAGGCAACCGAGGAGTATTCTCAAAGGAGGATAGAATGCCTATAAACAAAACTACAGGTGAGTTGCATGTTTTCAAATAAAGTAAATACTCATTTTTATTGTAAATTATTTTAATTTTGTTTAATGTTTAAATACCGATCAATAAACAATGGTAATTTAAATCAATAAGAAATTATTAATTTTACAGTTGATCTGGCAGACTCCAGAAGAACTGGTTTGCCATCCTTGTCAGCCCCTTACTTGCTGTGTTGCCTGACTAAGCTGAATTTCACCAAGGCCTGGTTTCTTCAATGAAAGATTAATATGTAACTCCATGGTTTTGTGCACCTCAAATGAGATAATAAACTACTAAGTGTATACATATCTCTAGGTTTCATTGTACAAAGAATAGCAAAAATGCTGGGCATGGTGGCTCATGCCTGTAATCCCAGCACTTTGGGAGGCCAAGGCAGGTGGATCACCTGAGGTCAGGAGTTTGAGACCAGCCTGGCCTACATGGAGAAACCTCGTCTCTACTAAAAATACAAAAATTAGCCAGGTGTGGTGGCACATGGCTGTAATCCCAGCTACTTGCTGAGACTGAGGCAGGAGAATCACTTGAACCTGGGAGTGGGAGGTTGCAGTGAGGTGAGATTGTACTATTGCACACCAGCTTGGGCATCAGAATGAGACTCTGTCTCAAGAAAAAAAAAAAAAAAGAATAGTAAAAAAAAAATGTAAATCCACAAAATAGAATTCTAAGAGATCTGTAACTACTGGTTTGTGTGGAAGTTAAGTTTTGAGGGAGAAAAATACAATGAACTTGATAACTGTCTTCAATGGTTTAAGACATTTCTATATGAAACAAAAAAATTTTTAAATTTCATATGATAGAGCCATAAGCTATAGATCAAATTTTCCAAGAATGCGATTGGAGATTAATGTAAGGTAGAATTCTAGCAATTTTTAGGATCCACAGGGAACAGATGACTGCAAGTAAGGGGTTTGGAATGAGATATACCTGAATTTCAGTTTTAGTTCATTCATTTGCTGACTGCATTACATTGGGCATGACCATTAGTCTTTCTAAATTTCAATTTCTTCATCCTTAAAAGGAGAGTGAGTACCTGTGTAGAAAATTAATAAATGATAAACTAGGTAATATAGGCAAATTACTTAACATAATGCCTGAGATAATTATCCCCATATACATTATATTTAACTATTCCCTAGGAGTGGGAGGATTCCAGCCCAGTGATATGGTCACTAGTCTAGAATGATTCCAAAGGTCACTGACCATGTCTGTTTTGTTCATGGTAATATTCCCAGTCCTAACAGAGATTTGGTTCTCATTTACTATTTCTTGAGTAAATGAATGAATAGAAGAGATGCCTCCATTGAGTTGAAGGTTAAAACAAAGACCTTTAGTCCTTTCCAAATTCAAGAACTTGGTTTGGATTTGATCATCCTTGTTGGGGAAGAGGAAAAGTAATCCTTAAGTTGAAACTAAATCAAGTAGATAACTTTCTACTTCTACCTTTGGCTAGAAGAAACTGTAAGCAAACAATTACCCTTGTTCCTGGAAAAGCTTACTTAGGAGTTCTTAATAGTCTCAGAATGAATTTGTGCTTTGAAAATCAGACAGGTGATTCCATTTGGTGGAAAATAATATAATGACATATAATTTTATTTAAAACATCTTTGAAGAATGAAGGTCAAGAGAACTTTTTTTTCAATTAAAATTGTTTCCATTGATTGGGAAATCATAGATAATAGGATGTTCAGATACAATATTTGGTGGAAAATACAACTGTCAATGAATTCTCCTATTTCCTCTAGTGGCAATTAATCAGTATCATTTCAGAAACACATATATGTTAACACTGCACAAAAAGGCAGTAAAAGGCTTCCAGACTTGATTTTGTTTCTATTGTATGTTTTTATTTTTAAGTGTCTGTGTTTTTTCATTGCTGAACCATCACACTTAACACGTTTGTATGCATACACAATACTAACAGCAAATCCCTACAAAGGCAAGGCTGGCAAAAAGTCGTAACTGTTAAAAAGTTCTTCTATAAAATGCCATGAGATTATTTAAGTTAGTAAAAAACTAGCAAGGATTGTTAAAAACTCCAGAAGGATCTAATCAAAGTGTGAGACTGTGCAACATAATGACAGATGGAATTTAATGTAGATAAGAAAAAGGTAATGCATTTGGGTAGAAATCATTTAAACTTTTCATATACATTGGTAAGATCTGAATTAGCTGAACTTCTCAGGGAAAAAATAAGGGGTAATTATGGATGGAGTATTCATTGAAGACATCTGCTCAGTCTTCAGAGCAGTTAAAGCTAATAGACTGATGGTTATATTAATAAGGCAAGGGAAAATAGTATGGAAAATATTATGACATTATGCTATATAAACCACTGATTTAATTTCACTTTGAATGCTGTGTTAGTTTTTGGATTCCTAGCGTTTTAAAAGATGCAATGTTTACAAAGTAAAAGTTAAAAAAAAAAAAAAAAGAAAGCAAAGAAATGAGAGCATAGCCAAGGGGAGCATTAGACTCAGAGCAGGTAAAGTGGAGCCCAGACTGTAAGAGGAGGTGTTTCCACCTCCACCCCACATAACTTTGTTGAATTCATAATTGCAGCTTCCATGAAATGTAGCTTTTCCCAGAAATCATTCCCAGACAATTATTTACCAGTGAGTTCTGAGCAAAGCATTTAATGCTTTTTAGCCCAAAAGAAGGATTTTATCCTCTGTTTGCTTGATATGTATAAAAATAGCTGCTATGCGTAAAAATATTTGTGGAAGTGAAAAAAAACTATCCTTCTATGAAAACACTTTTTTTCTTTGTGTAGGTGTCATTTAGATAACCCATAAAATGATGACTGTTTCTGTAGTATTCCCATTGGTTCTTTGTCATTGATGTTGTCTCTTCTGAACCTCTGGGAAGTCATTCAATGATGTCCCTTTGATGCAAAGGTCTTGGGGAAAGAAGTCTCTAAAGTTAGTAGTAAGATGCATGTAATAATTAAACATTTTCTATTTGTCCTACCTTCCTTGTTTATCTCATTTAAATGAACTATTTCTAAAGGTGCAACTTCTTTTGTTGAAAATACCTGACTCACAGGCCTTTCTACTATGGGTCCTAGCACAGTTAGAGGTAAGCGTTATGTTAGCCAGCCCAGGTCTTGTACTGGCTTTGCCACCATAAGACTTGTGATCTTAGGGAAGAACTTTTATTCCCTGGGTCTTAATTTCTTCTCTTTAAAATAGCAATGACACTATCTAGCACACAAGGTTATTGTAAGAATTAAATAGAATCATATATATGGAATTCTTTGTACATGATAAGTGCTCTGTGTTAGATAGCATTGTTATGTAGTACTAAATAAATGGTGGGTTTAAGATAAAAATAAAATAATCATGTTATCATTTGCTCTCAAAATAATTTTTGTTTGTCATGCGATCTAAGTTCTTCACATATTTATAATTTTGAGAGGCTGTCCTAAATTACATGGTTCTCCATGATCCAATCCCAGATTCCCATTATAAACTCTCTGCCACTAATCTCTGATGATCATTCCATTCCACAGCTACAAGGAGTACTAGTGCGTATTCCTCTATCAATGTTCTCCACACTTCTCCAACTCAGAGCCTAGCACAACTCTTCTATAATGCCCACCCTCCTCTACAAGGCCTGCTTCAGCCCAGCAAAGGAAGGCTCAGCCAACACTTCTTTCCTCCCGGAAATCTTTTCAACATCTCCAAGAGAGAATTAGTCAGTTTATCCTTGGAATTTCATAGCCATAAATCTGGACTTCTACTTGATCCAAACACCATGATGTCTTGTGTTATTTGTATTATTTATGTAATCATTCCCTGTATGATTGTAAGCTACTCACCCTTGTGTGTTCAACATTATCCAGCATAGGACAAAAGAACATACTGAATACATTAATAAATGTACACAGTTATAGATCCATCTCTTACAATGAACTCACAGACACAGCAAATTCAAGGGATAAGATGCAAACTTCAAAAAAAAAATGATAACCTTGCATAGTAAACATAAAAATAGAGCAAATATTCAGTTTTTCTGATCTTAGCTTTCCAGAGAGCGATTATTAAAGAAGCAAGAATTTACCACTTACTGAAAACAGAGAGTTCAGTTTCTAACAGAAGGACTACATTCCCTTCTCTGAGTTTGAACCTGAACATATTAAAGTATTTGAAGTTAATTCAGAAAAAAAGAGTACCAATCTGCAACATGTGCAAGATTCTATTTTTCTCTAAAATTTCACTGTGAAGAATAAACAGAAGGTTACTAACAGTTTATATCCTTACCTATTTTGTTTTGTGGGACAATGTATTTTTTTCAAATTTAAGAACTGTTTTACTTCATTTCCTATGCCTTATTTTATAACAACTGGCCATGGAATTTCAGTGTTTCATATGTGAAAGAAGGGAAATAAATAACATTTTAAAGGATTGTTTCTTTCATTGAATTTGCCTTTTCTTTGGTTAGCATGAATTACAAATTCTCATGGATGAGGACCATTATGTTAGTCTGTGGTGAGTGTTATATGAGATAAAAGAGAAGGGATGAGATCAGCTCCTATACAGCTGCTAGACATATCCTTTTTATTGAAAAACGTATTTAAAATGTCCCATCTTCAACGGAGGGGCAGTGATTTAAAAGACACAGCTGCTAGTTAAGTAACAGAAATGGCACCTGGGTTCCAACTGGGCTTAGGTGTGAGCAATCTTGAGAATAGGCTCAGAATAGAAAGCGATGAGATGGGGGTAGAAATTCTTTTACTGTTAAAGTCAATGTCATCATCAAAGTTAATAGAGATCACAATTTTCAAGGTATCACAATTGAAAATTCAAAGCAATTTTGGGAAAAGATACGCACTATTGTATTGAACTGTCTTTTGAGTTAAAAATATTTAGCTGAATTAATGTTAGATGATTGGGAGGGGTTTTTAAATCATGCAAATGAAAGACGTATTTTTCTCAGGGCAATGAAATTCACATACAGAGGAGCATTACTGATCATTAGCATGGGGAAGGCATACTTCTGCCTAATCAAATGTCCATTAATACCGAGAATGTCTGTCCTTTTCATTGATTGCAGTTTAAAAAGGAACACATGAAAAGGTGGTCACAGAAGATAGAGATGCCTTCATTAGTCAACATGAATGGCATACTCTTCTTTTTAATGTTCTTTCCTTCTCTTCTCTTTTTCCTCAGAGCTCTGTGAAAAGTGGTGTGTGTAAACTCTCTCTATAAAATGCAATTAGTAAGTTAGGGATACATCAATCACATTTTCTGTTAAAAAGTGCCTCTCCTGCTGCATCCTCTTTACAGTGTCTTAGATAATACCCTTGGCCATGGAGATAGATTAGACCTTACTCTTGTTTTTGTTTTTGAATTGGAGGTGGCCTGGAGGGCTGGATAGAATAAAATGTGAGGCCACTCTGAGGTCAAGGTTATTGATGGAAAACACTGTTGGAAATACAAGCAGTGACATGGCCACAGGGGAGGGAAATGCCCTTTACATAATGCAGAGCTTGGTCTAAGTCCTGCTTTTTCTTCTTATTAATTGTGTATTCTTGGGTAAGGTAAAGTATTTGATTTCATATTTTTTTATTACACAAATATTTTTGGGACCTCTACTGCATGGTAGGCACTGTTCTGTGGTTTGGCATTCCAATGATAAGCCAAACAGACAAAGCACTTACCCTCATGATACTTAAGTATTAGAGGGGACATTGACAGTAAATGCACATGTGTGGATATATTGCAGTGCCAAGCAGTAACAAGTGGAATGAAGAAAGATGATGGAGAAGAAATGGAGACAGTGACAGCAGATGCTATTAGAGATAGAGTAGACATGGAAGGCCATGCTGGGCATGCTTAGTTGATGAGACCCAACTGAATGAAATGAGGGTGCCTCATTTCATTTAAATTACTCTCTATAATGGCAATATTAGTAGCTACATTGACGAAGTCTAAAACAACATATGGAAAGCACAAGTGTGGCATAGCAGCTCAACAATCAGCTACAGCTCTCAGTGTTGTGACTGTGAAATGTGTGGTCACCTGTCATATGCGATACTCACTTCCAAGTTTGGGTTCACCTCCCAATTACTCTGATTTCATCCTTACACATTGTATACATGCGTCAGTATCCCCCAAATAGGTACAGATATGAGATATCTATCAATAAAAAATTTTAAGAAAGATTTGGGTTCAAATATGATTTCCATTTCTTCAGGTACACATTTGATACTACAGAAGTCAGTATTAGTTACATTTTTGAATTTCGGTTTGATTCTCATATTCACCATATAAAAGTTGCTCTACTTCTGCCTTTGTTTTAATACCACGTATTTTCCTCATCATTTAGCCTCGTGATTGCATATATGTTAGGCAGGATTTGAATAATTATGACAGCATTTGTGCTGCCTTCAGGTCTTAAATATTTTTCAAATATAAATTTCATAATTCACGGCATTTTTTCCAGATGTCTTTGGCAGCTTAAAGGACATGAAATCCTGATTGCTGGGTCTATAATTCAACAAAAGAAAATATAGGTAAATAAGGCAGGACAAACACGGTAAGATTTGGAAACTGAACTAGAATTTACTGTTGGCTTCAAGAAAATCTTGAAGGTCAAGAAAGAAAACTTAGGGTATGACAGGAGAAGGGAACAGAATTGTCTAGGACAGACAATGTGAAATCAAACTATTAAATGGATCAGAGACAGCAAAGGAGTCTGGGTTGTCAGGAGAAAGAGGACCACAACCAGGGAACCAGAAGACATTTTAATGTACAATAAACAAGATGTTGTAGAGGATAGCAATGAAGTACAAGAACATTTGGGTTTTCTTGATTCATATTCTATAATCCTTGAATGGGGGGGCAAAACTACCACCCATTTGACATTGATAAGTGAAATAAAGTAATGATTGAGCACTTAATGAACATAATTAACACTTACTGAAAGTAATCATGTGTTCTGAGTCTTTCAATTAATTATTAAGACTTTTAGTCCTTGGAAACGTTTTATCACATAAGTGTGATAATACCCGTTGTTGACAGAAACTCAGACTCAGAGAGGTTAAATAACTTTCCCAAGGTCACACAGGAATTTGATCTTCATGCAGGGAGTGTGGCTCCAGATGCTTTGTTGTTTGTAAACACTATAACACTCTCATGCTCATGAATTTAGCTATCCTTTTTAAAAATCTATTCATTGGTATTATTATCTTACTTTCACCATTTATGAAATGAGGTACAGAGAGATTAAGTAACTTTTTCACAATGAAACAGGTTGAAAATGGCATAGAAAAAAACAATTACATTCTCTAGGTTATGCATTTTACTATACCATGCTGGGAGAAGACTGGAAACCCAGAGTACCACCTCCTGCAGTTTGAGGGCAAAGCTGGTTCTCCTGACTCACTCCATCAGAATGATATTACCAAGACACATGCTCTTTTGAAAGGCAAAGCATTTGACCAAACAAGCTTATTTTCCCTATACTACTTCTCCTCCACTCCCCACTGGACAGATTACACAACATTAGAGGTGGAGTGAAGAGGTAATACTATCCATCCCCCTTATTTTATAAGAGGAGGAATTACTATTTAATGGAAATATTCACAATTTGTCCCAAGTCACCCAAGTTAAGGACTAGTCATATGTATCTTGCCATTATATCATATTCATTTTAATTCTTTGATTCATTTATTCATATGTCACATATTAGTGAAGCACTTACTATATTCAACCAGTCTCAACTGTCATCCTGTGGGATAAAAGAGTCGACAAGGCTGTTACCTTCAAGGACAGGAGCAGATATAAACCAAGCACATAAACAACACTGTAGTGGGGAAAGAAACATAGGACCTGCCATGCCGGAGAGTCCAAAACATACGCCAGGGATACAGATTCAGAAACAAGAGTTTGCTTGCAACTGATGAAATAAAGAAGCAAAGGTCTGTGTTAAAGTTAAATTTAGAGCTGAATTTGAAAAGATTATCAGACTCATGTAATCAGGAGAGACCTGATCACTCAATGTAACAGGTGAATTAAAGTCCAGAGACAGGGAAATGCTTCACTTTAATGGGCACCAGGAGTGGTCTCTCTTGGCAAGAGAACTAAGTGCAAGAAGGAAAGGTACCATCGCTGCAAGTTGGAGAGCCAGGTGGATGCCTGATACTGTTTTAGCGATGACCTCAAACGACAAAATACGAATCATTCAGAATTAAGAGATACAAAAGTCAAGATATATTTATTGGAAATAGAATGAAAAGAGTAGCTATACAAACTGAAATCAAAACCTGAGGTATTATAACTAAGGTACTGATTCAAAAGACTCATTGAGGCCATAGCCATAACCAACAATATGAATAATAACTGGCCGAATCAAAACCACTCACGCATTAAATTAGAACATTTGTATTACAGTGCTTGAAGCCAAATGAGCTTTTCTATGTTAGATATATGAAAGGCACCATTCATGATAGAGCCATTACCTGGACTAAGGGTGTACTTGGGCAGACAGAGTCAGTCCAGACAACGGAACAAGAACACACATTTTGATAGAATATAGTAATTTTCTTATTTACAATTGAAGGTTACAGGTGAGCCCTCAGCTTTCTCTGTTTCACTTTTGATGATCTAACAACGTGAAAATTGTTTCTATCTGCTATTTATTATGACTGATGATGTTTCATCTAGGTCAGCCCTTCTTGGCCTTTTCTGCAACTCCTGGAACCCTGCTCTCAAAAAATTCAAGCTGATAGCGGGGAACCAAAAGAGCAGCCAAAGACTCAGGATCCCCTGTGACCAGCAGCAGGCAAGCCACTGGAACACACCCCCAGGACACGCACACACGCACCTGAAGATGTTATCAGAGAAAATGAAACCCCACTTTGCTAATGGGAATGTGTACAGGTTGAAGAAGTCCTAGCCCCTGCAATAGGATAAATCTTCCTTTGAGCAGGAATTTTGTTAGCTGTTCCCTTACTCATTTGTAATATAATCTTAACGTGTGTATATATTTTTTAACAAGTTATCTTTTGTGTGTGTGTGTGTGTGTGTGTGTGTGTGTGTATGGTTGTTATAGATTTTCTTAAGAAGGGATCAATAGCCATGCAGGGATTCATAAGAACAGGAAAATGCCAACAAGACCCACTTGAGAAGGGTCTCCTTCTGAAAAAATAACTCTACCTGATGGAATATTAAGAAAATATACTGTTAAGTGGATGTGCCATACTAAGCAATATGCATATGTTATTCAGGAATTAAAACAGAAACGAATAAAGGCAGAATGAGAATGTCCATTCTAAGATTTCTAAAATATCTGGGGATTATGTTTCCTTATTTTCTCTCACAGCAATGAGACTTTACTTTGGGGAGGAAACAGAAGAATTTTATTTGGGGAAGGAATTTGGTAGGCATCCCAAACATGAATTTTTTGATTGATATATTTTGAGAGATGACTTGTAGTAGATAACAGTGGTAGAACTGGATAAGACTGTCTTGAAAAAAATTAATCATCTTATGCGTAATTTATACTGTGAACTATACAGAAGAGAATTTTGTATAAAAGTTTTAGATTTATTAGAGCATTCTTTGACAAACAGAAATTTAAAACATGAAATGAAGCTGTATGTCAGATACAAATTGTAAATCTCAAATTACTAAAGCACAGCATCAGATAGTTCCAGAGACAGAAAAAGTTTGGTCCTATTCTGGAGCCTTCAAAATTATCATCATAGCATATTGCCCAGCAAAATGAGTAGGTTATCTGTTTGTCTGTCTGTATATTAATGGTTTATCCAATAATTACATGTTGAGTGGTCATGATGGAGCAGTATTATTCCAGGTAATGATTCTACAGGAGTTAAAAAGTTAAAAAGACAATCTTTTGCCCTAATTCAGATTTATAATTTGAAAAGATGACATTTTTGTTTATGTATTGAGTAAATGTTTAGTTGTCTGTATCAATAAACCAAAAACTGGGCATTAACTGGGGATTCAACTAACCATGGGACGGAATTCACATCACTGGGCAATATACAGTGTTATGGATAAGATGCAAATTTAAAAACACAAATATAATACAAGCTTAGCAGCTTTTTAAAATTTTTAACAGCTTTATGGAGATCTAATTTACATACCATAAAATTTACCCACTTGAAATATGCAATCTAATGTTTTTGAGCGTATTCACAGTTGTGCACCCATCAACCACATTCCAATTTTAGAACATATTTATTACTCTAAGAAGAAATCTTGTATTCATTTAATTCCTTTCAATAATGTATTTTAGTTTTCAGTGTTCAAGTCATACTGTCCTTTATTGTTAGATTCCGTATGTATTTTACTATTTTGGATTGCACTGTAAATCAAATTGTCTTCTTTTAGATTCAGATTGTTTGTAATGAATGTCGATAAGTACAACTGATTTTTGTACATTGTTATTAAATCCTGCAAGATTTTGCATTCTACTTTTTTGTAAAAGTTTTCAAATGATTGATATTAACTATTCTTAAATGTTTGGTAGATTTTATCAGTGAAGGCATCTTGCCCTCAGGTTTTCTTTGTGGGAAATTTTAAGAGTCCTAATTTAATATCTTTACTTATTATATGTATCTTCAGATTTTCTATTTTTTGAATAATTTTCAGTTGTTTTTATGTTTATAGGAATTTATTCCTTTCATCGAAGAAGTATATATTATAATTCCTGATAGACTTTAAGATAAAGTCTATTGTTTCTCTGTCCTGTATTTATTTCTAATCTAATATTTATTATACTTGTTTTGAAATCTTTTTGTCTAATATTATAGACCCCAGCTCCCTTTAAGTTTCTGTATGCATGATGTATCTCTTGCCATCTTTTTACTTTCAATCTATTTGTATCTTTGGATCCAAAGTGTCTTACTTCTAGACAGCACATAGCCATGTCATACATTTATCCATTCTTCCAATTTTTATCTTTGATTGTAGGGTTTTATCCATTTATATTTAATGCAATTAGTGATAAAGTAGGATTTATCTCTGTCATTTTGGTACTATTTCTATATATGTCTCACCTTTGTTACTTTCTCTGTCACTGCTCTTTTATGCTAAATACATATATTCTAGTATATTATTTTAATTATATGTAAGTTATATATATAAATTCATTTATTTTGATAGTGGGTCTTGCTATGTTGCCTAGGCTGGATTCAAGCGGTACTCCTGACTCAGCTTCTTGAATAGCTGGGACTACATGCACATGCCACTGCACCTGGCTAGTGTACCATTTAAATTTCCCCATTGTTTATTTTGTATTTGTGTATATATATTTTTTGCATTGATGGTTGCCTTCAGGTTACATTTAGCATTCTAATTGAAAATAATCTAGCTTAGATTAATACTAATGTAATTTAGATAATATACAGAAGATTTGTTCTAACATTGCTGGATTTACCCTTTCTTTGCGCTATTATTGTTATGCTAATGAGAGCTTTAGACATTATATGCCCATCAACACATTTTTAAAATAATTGCTATGTAGTTGTCTTTCAAATTATATAAGAGGAGAAAATATTACCAAAATACATTTACACTATTTCTTATATTTACCAAATTAGTTACCTTTACTGGTGCTTTTTATTTCTTCCTGTGGTTGAATCTATTATCTAATTTCCTCTTATTTGAGCCTGAACAATGTCCTTAGTGTTTCTTTTGGAGTGGTATGCTAGCAAGGAATTCTGTTTTTAATTTGGAAAGTTAATTTGGTGGAATATAAGATTCATGATTAACATTTTTCTCTTTTAACACCCTGAATGTCTCATTTTATTACCTTCCAGACTGCATGATTTCTGATGAGAACTCAGCCATGACTCACATTGAGGAGCCTTTTTATGTGATAAGTCATTTTTTTTTCTCTTACCAGTTTCTCTCTTTACCTTTGACTACAAAGTGATTAGGTGTGTACTTCCTTGAGTTCATCCTACTTGAAGTCTGTAGAGGTTTTTAGATTTTTAGATTAATGTTTTTCATCAAATTTGGGAAGTTTTCCACAATTATTTCTTCTTTTTTTTCTTTCTGTTCCTCAGACAGAATATTCTCTATTATTTATTTTTGAGTTCACTGATTTTTTTCTTCTGCTACTATACTCTGCTACTATACCTCACTAGTGAATTTTCATTTATTACACTTTTTAACCCCAGGATTTATATTTAGTCCATTAGTATAATTTCCATCTCTTTATTGATATTTTTTAATATGGTAAGACTTCATTATCATACTGTCCATTCATTATCTACACGTTTTTCTTTAGTTCTTCCAATATGTTGATAACAGTTGATTTAAGCTCTTTTTTCAGTAGTCCCAACATCTGTCTCTCTTAAGAATTGTTACATCAACTGCTTATGTAGCAGATTTATGTTTTCCCCCTATATAGGGGCTTCACTTTCCTGTTAGTTTGTGTATCATATACATTGTGGTTGAAAATTGGACATTTAAAAAAAATCATGTACAAATTTTATAAAAGAGATTCCTGCCTGCCTACTCCCTTCTCTGGCATTTATTACTGTTGCTGTATTGTTTTTGCTATTTTTCAGTGAATTATCTTCCCCCTTTTTCCAATAAGTGTGTGCTGGGAAAGTGTTTACCATGTAGGCAGTTTACAACTGTGCCTTACCACTCACTTCCTGCATGTTCAGGGCCTCAACATGAACAAAATGAGAAACTGTAGCTCTCTCAGGTCTCTCCTGGGCATGCATACAAATGGTTCTGCAGATGTGTAGGGTTTTCTAAATCCATATCAACACTTTCAAAAGTCCCATTGACATCCCATGCCCCATATCGTAGTCTCTAACTTCTTATGTGTTTTTTTAAAGATTTTGTCCAGGTTCTTGTTTTCCTCACTGATATTGCAGCCTCATGGAGTTGTGATATTAAACAATTGTTGCTGATTGTTTATGATGAACACCTGGGAAACAGGGCTTTTCCCATGGAGTAAGCACGGACATTTGTCAAATAATGACATACTCTGCAAATAGGGCTTCTGATAGAGCTGGGAGATAGGTCAATAGTGATGATGCTTTGAGACTAGCACTGTTTGTGGAACTGTAAACCCAATCTTCCCTTTCCACAACAACAAGGCTGGTAGTTTTCACAACTATCATTGTTTTGAGGCTGCTCGTTCTCAGACTACTGTAAAACTGAAGAGAAGGGAATGGGAGTAGGTCAAGTTACAATACTGACGACTGTTGTTCTCATAAAGATTCAGCAGTTCTAATTTTTTTAAATAAATACTTATCCGATTGTTACAAGACTTTGGTCAATTTTGACTGCTATAAAAAAGTTGACCTTTACAATTTTTGCTAGTATTTTTGTTACTTTTTTGGATAGATTGATTTACACAGGTCCTCATTCTGTGAATCCGGAAGTCCCGACTCCATTTGTTTTAAATGCATGTATGTGATGTGCTGACATACAGATGAGGAAGGTACTAATACAGTCCTCAGTTTTTTAAAGTGCAAATCAGATAAACTATAGTAACAAAGGTATAATGAATCTGGAAAGGCATACCCCTCTACTTTACAGGTTTTACTATTTGATTTCTATATGGCTATGTTTGTTTTGAAATTTTAAATTTATAATATGAATCCTCCATTGTTAGTTACTTTGATTTAGTTAACACTTGATGTTTTTAAGTTATGGGATATATGTGATAATGGGAGTATTCCTAAACATACAGGCACTACATTTTATTATTAACTATTAATATGTAAGACTATCTCACATCTTCTTCATATAACAAAAAAAAGATGTCAACTTGTTAAAAATTGTTACAGTCCTTTTTTTTAATGATGGCTAAATACTTCTAGTTTTTCTCCTAACAGGAAAATTCACTTGCATTCAAAGTTTAATAGCAGTTATTATTAACAAACATGAGCCAGGGTTTTCTGCAATTATGTGGTATATAATAAATAAAACCGGGCAACGGTAAAGTACCCTATTTCTCTTCAAGAGAAGAGATAGAAAGTAAGGCATTAAACATTTATTGTTCTTTGCCTTTGTGCTTTTCTACTCTTCTTACGGGTCAAAAAATAATAATTACATAATGACTTCATAAATCTGTTTGACTTTATGCTACATGTTTTGGGCAACAAAAGAATATCTGAATAAAGATATGTGGTTTTAGGAGGGCAAACCTGACAGAATATTGTGTATGTGCTGATAAAGATAGAGCACCAGTGAAGGCATTGGGTGAAGCTTCCTATTCAAAAATGACTGTATCTTGTATGCTGTTCTAATCCCAAGGGAGAGAAATCTGCCCCAGAGAACAGTGCTCCCCCAACCCCCCAAAAAACCTCAAATTATGTGATTGAGGATCAGTAGTTCATTTTGTTTGTTAAAATAAATTAAAATTAAATTTTTTTTTCAAGAACGACTTAGTCAAATTTTATACTTAATACAATCTTTTCTTTTTTATACCACAAATTTGTTAAAGATAATTTTGCTCTGGTTTTACTCTATTTTTAAATTATTTATTTTTTACTGCTAACACTACCACTATTCACAAGAACACATTCATTGGCAGCCTGAGAAATGGCCAAGAACCACCATTGGAATTATTATTTTTTAATACATCGACTCCTCTAAATATCAGGGGTGGTGGTAGAAGTATGTATAAGAACTAAAGTTTATTTAGAAAATTAAAAAGTAGTATGTAACAGAGGCTGGGCAGAACCCGTTGGGAAATTCAGCTGCACATTTTTATGTCACAGTGGTTTCATAATCAGAGGTGGGTCTACCAGGTTAAAGAGCTATAAAAGAACAGGCACAAGTCCATTCAGTTTTATGTCTATTCATTTTCATTGAATTTAATAAATGTTTCAAGGAGCCCATAAAGGATTTTCATAGTATATCTCAATATGTTAATATCAAATTTCATTATAATTTACTTTTTGTCATAGAGAAGTCCATGCTTTAGTAAATTTAAGAAGTTAATACCTAGAGAAATAAAGTTCTTTCAAAATGTGATGTGGATCAATGTAACACAGACATAAAGTTGACTAAGTCTGTTTTCTACATAAGTGGTGTTTTCATTTTAATAGCCATTCATATTTCTAAAAGTTATTTTATGTGTAAATACATGCCATCTTCAAATGAAATTATGGTATTGTTGATTGAATGAGGGAAATGAGGCAAATACTCAAAGATGGTTGAACAGATGAAAGGTGAGAATGTTAGGTAAGACAGAGCAGCCCTCCCCTGCTAGTGTCCTCTTTGCTATTTCATTCTGCCCTAGTGACTTGTCCTCCCACCATCCAACAAACCTTTGTTGGGGAACTGCTTAGTATGACAAGCCTTTGACTGATGCTGCTGCATGGTTGGTACAGAGGTGAGAGACAGAGTCCTTGCTGCCTGGTTGCTAAAAGCCTAGTAGTCAGGAAACTAGCAAATAATCCTCTGTGATGAGTGCTAAGGTAGAGTTAAACAGAGTTCCCTAGAAGCAAGAGAAAGGCTTCCAAGAGAATGCCATCTCCAAGAAGCTTCATGAAAACATACAGGACTCAGTCACTGAAGTGAAAGAAACACAATGTTTGTGAGGAAAAAAATAAATCAGTTTGGTATGGTGGGAGCATAGGGGCTCAATATGTGTCAAAAAAGGAACCCAGAAAGAATGTGCCTAAGTATGCTATAAGGCAAGGGATTTGATGAAGAACCTCTGGAACATCCACAGGACAATGTCCAACTGGCATCTGTCTGTATAACTCTGAATAGGCAAGGTGTGTCTAGAGAGCCAGATGAACAATTTCCTAACATAAGAAATGATGGTAAAAACTGTGGCCCTTGATGAGTTCAGCTACAGTGAATATATTATAAGAAGAGGGTTGAAGGTCAAATTCTACAAAACTCCAGACTGAAGAAAGGAGGAGAAAGCGGTGGAAAGAAGCTTGGAGTGTGAGTTGCAAAGAGACAATATTAAATATACCAGAACATCCAATAATTTAGGGGTTGGAACAAATCCTTTGCACTTGGGAACAGAGGTTACCTTTGGCAGATTTATTTTGGCAAGGACCTTCGGCAGAGCTATTTTGGTGGAATGGTTGCAGTAGGAGTGGGCTCATGAAGGAAGAGACTCTGAGAAACGGAGAAAATACTGTAGTTTGCTGTTACATCTCTCCAAACTTTTTCCTTCTTTCCTTTCTCTCTTTCTTGGTTACTTGCTTCCTTCCTTCCATGCTTCACTCGTATCTTTCATTTTTTCCTATTGTTAGTGCAAAGAGAGAAAGAGATAGCTTAAGAGATAACTAATTGAATCTTTAGTACTTTGGAACCACATATTCCTTTGAAAATATTTTTAAAACTATTCATCTTCCACCAAGAAAAATGCACACATATATAACATTTTATAAACAATTCCAGGAAATACATAGTCCTTTTGAAATTTGCTCACTAAGTGTGAAGCTTTTAATGGGTGCCCAGTTAAAAATCTCTGCTAGCCAATCTTTGCAACCATGCAGTGTGGGTGTGGAGGTTGTTGGGTATGTAGTTATGTCGGGGTAGAGGAGTACAAGGATCTGAGTTTGGGTGTGTTTGAAACATAAAATTTATGTTCCTTATAATATAATTTTACATACTAATTTCCTATAAAGAAAATAAATTTTCTTTTATTTCTCTATTTTTGTAGGCAATGAAATATAAATGAGTTTTAGCTCAGTAGATTGGAAACATTCATTCATTTAATAAGCATTTATTGAACTTTTTTTAGAGCCAGGTATTAGCCTGAGAGACACTTGGAATACAGATAAGAATAAAATATAGCTATTGCCCACAAGCAGCTCACAGCTTTCTGGTCAGGATGCAAAGTAAACAAATAATGATGATGCTACTGTATGAGCTGTGCTGAGAGTGTGCTGTATCAGATATAGGGATGTGACACATTCTCACACAAATAAGGAGATGCCTCATTGGATCACAACATCGGTCCTTTGAATTATTTTTTGGTTACAATGCCAATTTTAATACTATAAATTTGATAGTAATAAAAGTGTTTAGGAGTCGAAAGTTGATACATCTCTACTGTCTCCACCAATCAGTTAACAAGAGAGAGTTAAACAGAAGGATGAGCTCTAGGTACAATTAGACCTGGGTGCCTGTTTGGGCAGTGGCATTGTCAGCTGCATGACTTTAAAATGGTATTTGATCTATGAAAGACTCAGGTCCTTGATACGTAAAGTTAGGTCATTAACAGAAATGTTGGTTTGCTATGCACATTCAATAAGCTAAACACGCTTAAAGCACCCAACTCAGGATCTGATCCAAAATTAGCAAAAAATAATTACTTAAGTAACTATTATTATTATTATCATCATGATAATTACTGCATATATAGCTGTGGTTGTTTTTAAACATGAAACATTTTATTTGATTGGAAACCACTGGAAATGTTGTTCAGATTCTTGCCTTGGTCAAGAAAATCAGACGGCAAAATGAAAATGAGACCTTATTGTTAAACTAGCTGGGAGATAATTCAGATTAAATATTTTTTGGTAAGAGACAATTATATGTTTAGATTACAGGTTAAATTCAGTAAATAGATACATATAACAAAAAAACTTAAAATCTATACAAAATAGGGTATTTTATTCTTTAAAAGTCCATTATTTGGGGCTTCTGCTTTCAACCAAGATGGAGTAACAGATTTAGCTGTCCCTTGAACCAACTGAAAAGCAGGACTAAATATATATAACGATACTTTTCAGAAATCAGATATCAGGCAACACAGGATGGTAGTTCCTGAGAGAAGTGACGGAGATGAGGTGAGCTGAGCTCTGTGATTGATGTAATTTCTGCCTACTGTCTGGAAAACTTTTTTCCAGGATGCAGTACAGAGAAAGAGTACCTCAGCAGAGCCTGGTAGACTATCGGAATTGATGAGACAGAGTGGAGTACAGGAAGGCTAAGACAGCTAGAGTTCACAGGACACCTTGTTATAAAGGAAAGAGCTTTCAAGGGTAGGGTGAGAGAGTGTGGAGACAGAGAGAAGGAGAGAGAGAGAGAAGATGATAGAAAGAAGAAGACACAGAGAGAGAAAGAAAGAATACAAGAGTGCTACGGAAATATTCAGAAAGTCTCTGCCAAGTTTTCAGCTGATTACTAGATAACACATGCATGTGAGGAAGTTATCTGAGTATTGGGAAAGTACCACCTGAAAGAAACAGAGGAAATGACCACAGAGCTTAGGTGGCTGGGAATGTTTGTAACACCATTCATAAGAACAGAAAATTTCATAATTCAAGGAATCTTGGTTAGAGTACTTAGAAGGACACTGCCTCAATAGTGGGGCATAGTTAGCCATAAATGAAAGGTTTCTCTATATCTGCCAATCAAAGCTTTAAAGCAAACCTCAAGATATCAAAGTATAATTAAATAATTTACTGCAACCCAGGACAAAGATCAAGCACTGCTACAGGTATACTAAAATTTCTAGCATCCAACAAGGTAATTTTCCCAATGTTGGGCATCTGATATAAAATTACCAAGATGCAAAGAATTGAAAGGGTTATGACTAAAATGACAAGTTAAAAAATCCATAGAAATAGACCTAGCAGGCCGGGCGCGGTGGCTCACGCCTGTAATCCCAGCACTTTGGGAGGCCGAGGCGGGTGGATCATGAGGTCAGGAGATCGAGACCATCCTGGCTAACAAGGTGAAACCCCGTCTCTGCTAAAAATACAAAAAAATTAGCCGGGCGCGGTGGCGGGCGCCTGTAGTCCCAGCTACTCGGGAGGCTGAGGCAGGAGAATGGCGTGAACCCGGGAAGCGGAGCTTGCAGTGAGCCGAGATTGCGCCACTGCAGTCCGCAGTCCGGCCTGGGCGACAGAGCGAGACTCCGTCTCAAAAAAAAAAAAAAAAAAAAAGACCTAGCAATAATACAGATGACATAATTAGTAGAAAAGTAGATTAAAACTTACTATAACTATTATTAGGTTCAATAATTTAGAGCAGAAATTGAACATCTTAAGTAGGGAAATGACAGAATTTTTAAAAGATTGATATCAAACTTTTAAAGATAAAAAATACTCTCTGAGATTAGAAATACATTAGTTGGAAGATTTATTTTATGAGTAAGATTTAGTAAGCACAATCCACCCTGTCTCACCTATTGAATACAGATAAAAACAGAGACAAAATATATGAAACAACTGTGTTAGAACTGTGGTAGATCCTACCATAGGACCTTTTGCCCCCTTTGACCTTCATGTGCTAGTGTTACACATATTAATATGTTACAGCTCAAGAATGACTCCAGGAGTGCATAAATAACTTCATGGAGTTGCTTTCCCAAACTCACCTCTGAATTGTATATACATGGATCGAATCCTAACCAGTACAACAAAGATTTGGAGAACTAACACTACGCCACCACCCAGGTCCCAGAATGGCCACTGGGTGGCAAGCACATGGACAGATTTATATAACACTGCCAAGTCTTCGAAAACTGAACTAATATTGGGACCACAGTCCAGAAAAGGTGAGTTAAAATGTAAAGCCTGAACTTTACCAGGTTGATTACTTGCTAAAACAGAAATGTCAATATTCACCAAAGGATTTAAACAAGACTCAGAATCTTGTAACATAATATCCAAGATGTCCAGATATAATCCAATATTACATGGCATATAAAAACCAAGAAAATGTCAATTCACATGAGAAAGGGCCAATGCTGAAATTAGATATGTTGAAATTACTTGGCAAAATGTTAAAACAGCTAATGTAAAAATGGTACAGCAATCAAGTCTGAGAATTCTTGAAACAAATGGAAAAATAGAAATCTTCAACATTAAAATAGAAAACATAAAAAAGGTAATGTTAGAAATAAATTTAATTTTTTAAACATTTAAGTTAAACATGTTTTAAATGCAAAATTAAAAAAAAAAAAAACTTACTGGATGGCCGAAATAGCACAATGAAAATTACAGAGGAATGAGTCAGTTTACATGAAAATCATCCAATCTGAGCAACTGAGAAAAAAAATTTAATAATTAAGCAGATCCCAGTAGTCTATGGAATAGTAATGAAAGGTCCAACATTTGTGTCATTAGAGTTTTCAGGGAAGAGGAAGCATGTGATACTGACAAATAATGAAGTGGCTTAAAAGTGCCCAAATTTGGTGAAGGACATAAACTTGCAAATTTAAGAATTTCGGAATCCCACAAAATAGACAGACTCAAAGAAGCCCATGCCTAGACACCTGTACATCACAATCACTGCTGAAATTTAAAGATAAAGAAAACTTGAAAGAAGTCAGAGAAAACTGCATTATCTATTAAATGACAGTGAATTTTGCACCAGAAACCATGGAAATTGTCAAGTGCTGAAAAAATGTCACTCTCAAGCAAAAATTCTATATTTAGTGAAAATATCCTTCAGAATGAAGGTAAAATAAAGATGTTCTCAGATGAAAGAAAATTCTGAGATGAAAGAGTTTATTGACATCAGAGCTGCTCTAAGACAATTGCTGAATGAAGTTCTTCAACAAGAAGAAAAAATTATACTAGAAGAAAATTTGGTATATCAGAAATGAAGGAAGAACAAGAAAAAATTTAAAAAGTAAATATACCAAGGTCATTTTCTCTTAGCTCTTTAAAATGTTTAATTATTGAAAAAAAATAATGATTCTTGATGAAAATTTTAGTGTAGTAGATATAATGTGAAAGAAAACTGTACCATAGAAAGTGAAGGGCAAATGAAACTATTTGAAGGACAGTGAGATGTCTACATTCAAAGTGTAGTGATAAAGTATTGAATCTAAGTGAATGCAAAATGGCTACGTATGCATAATACTTAGAGCAATCACTAAAAAAAGCTATACAAAAAGAAATAGTTTAAAATGATGTACATAAATTGAAAAAGAATGTTAAAATGGTTCACATAGTCCAAAAGAAGTCAGAAAAAGGAAACAGAAGAATAAAAATTAGAATAGGCAGAAAACAATTAAAAATCTTGGACATAAATCAAAACATAACAATAACCCATTAATTATAAATATATTAAACACTGAAAATAAAAGACAGAGACTGTTAAAATGAATGTGTTATTCAGGGTTCTCCATAAAAACAACCAATGGGAGATGTTATTTATGTACTTATATCTATAAGAACGGGCTTATGTGATTACGGAGGCTGACAAATTCTAGTATCTGTAGGCAGCAAAGTCAACAGCAAGAGAATCAGGAGATCCAATGGTATATTGTTCCAGTCTGAATTATGAAGGCCTGAGAACCAGGAAAGTTGATGATGTAGTTCCAATGGAAAAGTCAGTAGGCTTGAGACATAGCAAGAACCAATATTTCAGTTTGAATCCAGTGTTTCAGTTTGAGTCTAAAAGCAAGAAAAAAAACAATGTCCCAGCATGAAGGTAGTCAGGCAGCAGGAGTTTCCACTTTTTGTTCTATTTAGGCCTTTAACTGACAGTATGTGGCCCACCCACATTAGAGGGGTAATCTGCTTTACTCAGTTTACCAATTCATATTTTAATCTCATTCAGAAACGCCCTTAAAGACAGAATGATGTTTTACCAAATATGTGGGCACCCTGTGGTTCAGTCAAGTTGACACATAAATTTAATCACCAACATTCTACTTTTATTAACCAGACTCATATGCAGCTCCTTAAACCATCCTTAATATCCAAATGAAGGCAATAACAAGGTAATAATTCTGTCATAATACAACTGTCCTGTATACAACTAAGCATACACTAAACATTTCCCCAGAATAGGAACTGAGGTACTTCTCCTTGATATCCAATAACTTATATGCTATGGCATAAAATTAATAACATTCAGTACTATGTTATAAAGGCAATAAATCTCATGTCACATGAAAAGAGAATAGGACAGATAGGGAAAAACATTTTGTGTGTATTTGTGTGTTTAGAAAAACACACACAAACACATTCATGACAAAATAAAAAGAAAATACTCATGATGACAATTATAGTTCTTGCATCTGTAACTGGTCACATGGTTGTAGCTGGTATTATAATTATGTTCTTCCGCTACCCATTTTGTATTTCCTTTGCTTTCAGCAAACACCTCAGTTTGTTGTAGTTCTGTATCTCATGTTACAGGTACAGGTGCGTGATGGTTAATATTAAGTGTCAACTTGATTGGATTGAAGGAAGTGAAGTATTGTTTCTGGGTGTTTCTGTGTGTTGCCTGAAGAGATTAACATTTGAGTCAGTGGACTGGGATAGGAAGATCCACCCTCAGAAAGACCCACCCAGTGGGTGGGTACCATCCAATTGCCTCCCAGCATGGCTAGATAAAGGAGGCAGAAGAAGGTGGAAAGAGCTGACTTGCTGAATCTTCTGGCCTTCATCTTTTTCCTATGCTGGAATTTTCCTGCCCTCGAACGTTAGACCCCACATTCTTCAGTTTTTGGACTCTTGGACTTACACCAGTGGTTTGTTAGGGGCTCTCAGGGCCTTCAGTCATAGACTGATGTCTGCACTGTCAGCTTCTCTACTTTTGAGGCTTGGGGGACTCAGACTGAGCCACTACTGATTTTATTGCTTCTCAACATGCAGACAGCCTATTGTGAGACTTCACCTTGTGATTGTGAGTCAATTATAAACTCCCATGCATATATATATATATATATATATATATATATATATATATATATATATATCCTATTAGTTCTGTCCCTCAAGAGAACCATGACTAATACAAAGTGTTACTCAAATGTTAGGGCGACCCAAACATTCATTACTGAAGGTTTTTGGCAATTAGTAATTCTGCCTACATACGGTTGTTGTAGTTTCCCATTGACCTTAATCACAGGGCATGGTAATACTAAGAGATACCCCAGGAATCTCCTATATTCCAGACATGCTCTTCTTTACCTCCATTGTGGAGTAGCAGTTCAGTTCCCCTTGGTTGTTTAGATCAATCACCCAAGTCAACATCATAACTCCCTTCTTATCCAGTTGACTCAGAAGCAGAAGAATTGTCAGGTTGGCCAGGGGGCAGTCTTAACTTTCAGTTCCACTGACTTATTGTTGTGTCTTCTGGTGGAATCATTCCTCTTTCTAAAATTAAGATCTCTAGGCCAGCAGAGCATATAATGTCATGGGAATAGGAAGCAAAAGTTTTATTGGTGGGTCAATAGGTATAGTGGTGAGTGGTACCACCCCAAACTTCACCCCTTGATTCTTAGACCCATGAAATCTGGCTATGGGAAAAACAGTATCATATATTGAATGCTGATTCAGAACATACACAGCCTTCTGGAGAATATTTCCCTGGCCCTTTAAGATTTTTCTCCTAGCTGGCACTGAAAATTGTTCTCCAAAACCCATTCTAATATTCTATCAAGTGGGCTGCTTCAGGAAGGTGGGGAACATGGTAAGCCAGTGAATTCAATGAGCATGGGCCCATTGTTACACTTCTGTTCCTGTGAGGTGAGTTCCTTGATCAGAAGCAACACTGTGTGAAATAACATGAGTAAGACATTCTGCAAATCTATGGATGGTAGTTTTGGCAGAAGCATTACCTATAGGGAGGACAAATCTGTATCCAGAGTGTCTATTCCATTGAGAGCAAAGTGCTTCCTCTTTCATGATGGAAGTGGTCCAGTGCAGTGATGGAAGCTGTCAACAGGAAGCTGGTGAATCATTCAGGAGAATGGTGTCATATCTGGGATTCAGGGTTGGTTTCTGCTGGTAGCAGATTGGGCACTCAGCAGTTGCCATAGACATGTTGGCATTGGTTAATAAAACTTCATGTTGCTGAGCCTATGCATAACCTCCATCCCTGACATCATAGCCACTTTTTTTGTGAGCTCATTATGCAACGACAGGGATGGCTGAAAAAAGAGAATAACTAGTATCTAGAAAACAGGTCATCCTACCCACTTGACCATCCTTTGGTGAACATTCACATGGAACACAAAAATCTTAATGTTTTTTGTCCATTCAAAGAGGTCTATCCACGTAACTCTTCCCAAAATCTCCTTGTTACCAATTTTCCAATCATATTTCTTTCACGTTCCTAATTATCCAGCTAAACCATTGACCACAGCCCAAAAATTGGCATATAATTGCACATCTGACCATTTCTTTTTCCAAGCAAAGTTAATGACCAGGAGCACTGCTCAAAGGTCTGCCTACTTAGAGGATTTCCCTTCATCACTGTCCTTCAGGGATGTCCTCAAAAGGGGGAATAGTGTTGCAGCTGTCTCCTTTCTGGTGGAGTCTGCATATCATGCAGAACCATCTGTAAACTAGGCCTGAGTATTCTCTTTCACTCTCTGTTTATCTTAGGGAACTCCCTATGAGGCCATAGATACAGGCTGGGAGAGAGAAGATAGTTTAGAGGAGGTGAGAACAATAGACATTTAGGTCAATTCTTCAAGTAACTTGTGCTTTCCGGGTCTCTTTGGGCCCTGTGTTATATATACCACTTCCATTTGATAGTGAAGTGTTGGTGTTGCTGTACATGCCCAACTTAAGGCTTGGTGGACCATATAACGCATAGTTTATGATGGGCAGCTCAGGCCACATGGTACCTTGGTGGGGCATGGTTGACAGTTTAGTCTCTATTAAGGTACAGTAGCAGGCCAAAAGTTGTTCTTAAAATGAGGGTACTTATCTGTAGAGAATAGCAGAGTTTTGCTTCAAAAACTTCAGGATGTATGCCATGATTTACCTGTAGGCACATGCCAAAGACTACAAATAACATTCTTATCTGCCACAGCCACTGCAAGCACCATTGGCTCTGCTGCCTCCTTGGCCCAATTAAAAACCTTCAGCAATATGTGGGAGAGGAAAAGAAAAAGAAAAGACACACAGAAAAGATCACTGAGCAGAGCAGCATACCTGAAACATTTGGAGATGTCTAGGAACAAAGAAAGCGGGAACATCATTATCAGCCACGTGGGGAGTGCCACTGTGGTCTCCAGGGGCCTGCTCTGTAAAGGACAACAGCAATTTTTTTTTGCCACTCGGTAAGCAACAGCCATCCCAGACATGGATCCTTTGAGGAGGGAGATGTGTCTATGTCCCCTGTCCCCCTTCTCAAGAAGCAGCCAATCTTGTGCTAATTCAAAGCCAGAGCCACCCCTCCCAACCTGAATGCACACCGTTGACTCCAGAGCTGCAGCTGCTCCGCCTGTGTCCACACTCCAGGTCTCAGCTCTGCAGTTGCTCTGTGCTTGCCAGTGTTTCAGACCCCAGCTCTGTGGCTACACTGCATATGCTCACACATCAGTCTTGGAGACACTGCTCCTATGGGCTAGTCTGCACCCTGCACACACCAATGCAGCAGTTGGGGTGCCAGCACTCCAGGCACTGGTGCCACTACTGCCCTGGACCCCCAAATCATGATCCTTCCATGCATGCCTATCCTTCAGAACTCAGAGCCATGGCCACTCCACAGGTGTTGTGCATTAGACCCTGGTGCAAGCATGCTCTCAAGCCAGAACCAGTGCCAAGAGGGATTCCTTTGGCCACGACTTTCCTGTTGGAAGAAAAATAGATCAGCGGGACCCCAGAAGCCTTTGCCATCGAAAATTTCAACATCTTTCACCATCCTTTGCCATTGAAAATTCCAACATCCTTCACCACCAATGAGGATATCCACAGAGTTGCCTGTTAGGGCTCCCTGAAATATTTGCCAACATTGAATTTACCTGACAGGGCTGTACTGAGACTATGCTGCAGTGTCCTTACGGGAGCCAGAACAATCATAACCTTCTCAGCTTGTGTCTTTGCACCCACCTATAAGGGAAGGTCTTTCCCAACTGAAAAGAGTCTGTAAAGTCTAGAAAAGTAATTGCTTCAATAAATTAACAAACATAAACACAAGGCAACAAGGCATATGAAAAACTAAGGAAACATATCATTACCAAAGGAGTACAATAATTTCCCAGTAATTGACCCATCGAAAATGGAGATCTACAAATTGTCTGGCAAAGAATTTAAAATAATCATTTTAAGAAAGCTCAGTGAACTTCAAGAAAACAGAATGATACCATTTAACAAAATCAGAAAAGCAATAAGTGAAACAAAACAGCCTTTTTAATAGAGAAGTTGAAATTATATTAAAAAAACAAAGAAATCTGGAGCTGAAGAACACAATGAATGAAATAAAAAATGAAATAGAGAACAACAACATGAAAACTTATCAAGTAGACAAAATCTGAAAACAAAAAGACATGCTATCAATAGAGAAAAAAGAATAAACAGAATAAAAAGAGCATACATGCATTGTACGACAGCATCTAGACAGCTAACTTTCTCATTATAGGAGTCTAAGAAGGAGAAAAGAAAAAGGGACACAAGATTATTTAAATAAATATGCCAAATCTGAGGAAAGATATAAGTATCCTGGTACAGGAGGCTCTAAGAACTCCAGTGAAATGCAATCCAAAGTGAACTATGCCAAGAAATATTATAATCAAATTGTCAAAATTGAAAGACAAGGAGAGACTCATGAAAGCAGCAAGAGAAAAAAATTCTCACATACAAGTGATCACACATAAGGCTGGCAGCTGATTTCTCAGCAGAGACTTTGCAGGCCAGGAGAGACTGGGTTGATATACTCCAAGCGCAACAAGAAAAAAAATTGCTAACCAGTAATAGTTCACTGAGAAAAGAAAGATGTCCTTAAGGAACGAAAAATTGATAAAGACTTTCACAAACAAATGAAAGCTCAGGGAGTTCATATCACTAGACCTATCTTACCAGAAATACTGAAGAAAGTTCTTCAAGCTGAAACAGAAGGAATCTCATTAGTAATAAGAAAATTCACAATAATATAATAATCACTGGTAAAAGTAAGTATATTATCAAATGCAGAATAAGGTAAAACTTTGAGTGTCATGTAAATAACATATCTCTAATAGAAAGGTTAGAGAACAAAACTATTAATATAAGTGTATCTACAATAATTTTTAAGGGATACACAATACAAAATAATGTTAATTGTGACATCAAAAAGATAAAACGCAGGTAAAAGTAGTAACAGTATAGTTTTGTACGTGATTGAATTTATCAGCTTAAATAACCTGTCATAACTATAATAAGTTTTATGTAGACTTTAAGGTAAGCAGAAAGCAAAAATGTATAGGAGATCTAAAAAAAATACAAAGAGGAAGGAATCAAAGCATACAACTACAGAAAATCATCAAACCACAAAGAAAGACAGCAGGAGTGGAAGAAAGGCACAAAGGATCAGCAAAATAATGAGAAAATGAACAAAATGGCAATTGTAAGTACTTATCTATCAATAATTACCTTGAATATAAATGTACTAAATTATCCAATTAAAAGACATAGAATGGTTGAATACATTTAAAAAGAAAAAAAACAGGACCCAAGACCCAAATATAACAGACTGAAATAAGTGTGTTATAGGCAACATATATTTGGGTCCTGTTTACTGATATATATAGATTGAAATAGAAGATATAAATAAAGATATTCTATGTAAATGAAAACCAAAAGACAGCAGGAGTAGCTATACTTACATCAGATAAAATAGACTTTAATTCAAACCTATAAAAAGAGACAAAAAATGTTATTATATATTGGTAAAGGAATAACTTCATCAAGATGATATAACAATTATAAGTACACATGTACTATATACATCAGAGCACCTAAATATGTAAAGCAAATATTAATTGTTCTGAAGAGAGAGACTGTAATACAATAGTACAGAACTTCAATATTCTACTTTCAATAGTCAATATATCATCCAGTCAGAAAATCAATAAGGAAACACTAGATTTAAACTACACTTTAGATCAAATGGACTTAACAGACATATAAGAACATTTCATTCAACAGCAAAAGAGAATACTCATTTTTCTCCAGTGCAAAAAAACAAAAACAAAATTCTCTAGTATATAGCATATTTTAGGCAACAAAACAAAACTTAACAAATTTATGATTGAAATAATATAAAATGTCTTTTCTGACTACTCTTATATGAAACTAGAGATCAATAACAAAAGGAATTTTGGAAAATTCAGAAACACATGAAAATTAAACAACATACTCTTGACCAGCCAATGATTCCGGAAGAAATTAAAAAGTAAGTTTAAAAAATATATCTTGAGACAAATGAAAAGAGGCACACAACACACCAAAATGTATACGATGCAGCAAGAGCAGTTCTAAGAGAGGAGGTTATAGCAATAAATTCTTGCATCAAAAAAAGAAGAAATACATCAAGTAAATAACCTAACAGTACTTCTCAAGAAACTAGAAAAATAAAAGCAAATTAAGCTCAAAGTTAGCAGTAGGGAGAATATATGAAGTATCAGAGCAGCAATAAGCAAAACAGAGACTAGAAAAATTTAAAAGATGAAATAAACTGAGTTTATTTTTAATGGATAAACAAAATCAACAAACTTTTAGCTGGATTAAGAAAAAAAGAGAATTACTACATTAAATCAGAAAAGAAAGAGGAGGCCTTACAACTGATACCTGAAATATAAATCATATGAGACAGCTATAAACTATTTTACACCAATTAATTGTATGTATAACCTAGAAAAATGGATATATTTCTGGATGCATACAACCTACCAAGACTGAATTATGAAGAAACAGAAAATTTGAACAGAGCAATAAAGAGTAAGGACACTGAATCACTAAACAAACACCTCTCAACAAAGTAAATAAAGTTCAGGAATTACTGGCTTCGCTAGTGAATACTACCAAACATTTAAGGAAGAATTAATGCCAATCCTTTTCAAACTCTACTAAAATAATTGAAGAAGGACAATTTTCAAATTGATGAGATCCTTATCACCTTGCTATCAAAGCCAGACAAGGACACTGAAAGAAAAAATAAATTACAGGCCAATATTCCTCATGAACTGAAGTAGTTTCCCTCTATTCCTAACTTGAAATTTTACCATACTTGAGTGTTAAATTTTTCAAGTACTTTTGCTTAATAATTTTATTTAAAAATCAAATTGCTTTAGCTTGTTGATAGGGTAAATCACATTGCTAATGTTTGTTAATGTTGAAGAATTTATCTGTAATAAATTCCATGTGGTCATGATGTATACTCTTAAAACTACATTGCTGGAATTGATTTACTGATACTGTATTAAGGACTTTTGTGTCTAAATTCATGAGTTATATTTGCCCATAGTTTTGCTTATTTGGACTGTCTTTGTCTGGTTTTGAATCAAGGTAATATAATCCTCATAAAATGAGTTGGGAAATATTCACTCTTCTATTTTCTTAAAGATATTGTGTAAACTTTTTATTAATTATTATTTACTGTTTGAATTCTGCAGTAAATTATTCTGGACTTGAAGATTTCTTTTCCTGCGGTTTAAAAATTATATGTCCATGTTCATTTTCTTTAATGATTACAAGATGGTTCAGGTTGTCTATTCCATCTCAGTTGAGTTTTGGTAGTTTATGGGTTTTGAGAAATTGATACGTTTCTTTTAAGTTGTCAAACTTATGAGCATAAAATTATTCATATTTTTCTATTATCCTTTAAATGATTGCAGAAATATCCAATATTATATTCCTGATCATGTTTATTTTTGTCTTCTATTTTTTCCTTATATTGCAATAGGTTTATCAATTTTATTGATTTTTTAAGCATTAGCGTTTTATTCATTTATTTTCTCCATTGTCTTTCTGTTTTCAATGTCATTAATTTCTGTTATTTCCTTTCTTCTGTCTCCTTTGGTTTTATTTTGTTCTTTTTCTAGTTTCTTGAGGTGAGAACTTAGATTAGTGATTTGGAAACTTTGCCTCTTTCATAGTGGCAGCATTTAGTGCTGTTATTCTCCTTTCAACACAGCTTTGGGTGCATTCTGCATATTTTGATCTTTTGTATTTTCATTTTCATTTAATTCTATGTATTTTCTATTTATTGCTTCTGAGAATTTGTCTTTTATCAATGATGTATTTAGAAGTCTGTAATTTAATTTCCAAATGTTTGGAGATTTTTCATTTGTCTTTCTGTTATTGATTTCTAGCAGATCGCTTTATGATCAGAGAAAATATGCTGCATGATTTCAATTATTTTAAACTTGTTGGGGGTTGTTTTATAATCCAGGATTTGATTCATCTTGCTGAACATTCCAGTGTCACTGAAAAAAAAAAGATGTATCATCCTATTGCTTGATTCTGTTGTTTAGTTCTTCCATATTCCTGCTAATTTTTGTTTAGTATCTTTAATTGTTGAGAATTAGATGGTGAAGTCCTTAAACATGTTGGTGGATTTGTCTATTTGTCTATTTGTCCTTCCAACACTTAGTTTTTGTTTAGTGTATTTTGAGGCTTTGTTGTGTGTGTGTGTGTATGCACACATTTTTAATAATTTATTTCTATTTTTCCTTTTACTGTCATATTATCTTTTTTCTGTAGAGATATACGTTGTTTTGAGTTTACTTTATTCTGACATTAATATGTCACTTTTTCATTTTTAATTATTGTTTGTACAATCAATTCTTTTATTTTCAGTGTATATGTGCTGTTGTATCTAAAGTGAGCTTTCTGTAGGGACACTTGAATGTGTTTCAGTTTCTTTTATTCATTCTATCAATTTCTGCCATATGATAGGTATTGTATGTTAAAGCTAAATCAGTTTTATTAGCATTTACTTTTTATTTATTTCCTTTTTTTATTTTTTGTCTCTCTACCTACTTACCTACCTGTGGGTTGCATGGATATTTGTTATAATTGCATTTTAATTTGTAATGTTTTGATTCTTTATATAGTTTTCTTACTAATTGTAGGAGTCAGGGTTCTGCAGAGAAACAGCATGTGTGTGTGTGTGTGTGTGTGTCTGTGTGTGTATAAAAATGGTAGAAGCAAAAATTATAAAACCACATGAAATGGTACTATAGAAGAAATACTTAACATAAGTAGACTTTTTATAAGGAGAAGGTAAGCTAATACTTCTAAATTTCACTAAAAGTGGTAAAATGTAGATACCAGTAGACTATGATAAATTACATATGTACATTTTAATACCTACAGCAACGTACCAATACCTAACATTCTGCCTAATTTTATTAATATTTGTCAACATGGCTAGGCCACATTACTGAGATATTTGGTCAAAGTCTTCTGGATAATACTGAAAAGGTATGTTTTTCGATGAGGTTAATGTTTAAATCAACAAACTTTGAGTGAAACAGTTTCCCCCATCATGTGAGTGGGCCTCATTCATTTTGTTGAAGGCCATAAGAAAAAGACTGCTCCTCCCATAAAAATAGGGAATTCATCGAGCTGACTGCCTTTACACTCCAGCTGAAACATTAACTCTTTCCTGGGTCTCTAGACTGCTTCTAGACTACCCTGCAAGTTTTGGACCTGCCAGTCTCCACAATCAGGTGAGCCAATTCTTTAATATAATTTCATAACATAAATCTTAGTCTCTAGCAGTCTCTCTCCTCTCTCTCTCTCTCTAGCTATCTATATATTTATATATAGATATCTATATCTATATATTTATATATAGTTTTGGACCTGCCAGTCTCACAATCAGGTGAGCCAATTCTTTAACATAATTTCATAACATAAATCTTTGTCTCTAGCAGTCTCTCTCTCCTCTCTCTCTCTATTTATATATATCTATATTTATATATAGATAGAGAAATTGATATATATATTTGATACATATATTGAGAAATTGATATATATGTATATGTGTGTGTGTGTGTATATATATATATATATATATATATATATATATATATATATATATAGAAAGAGAGAGAGAGGAGAGAGATATGAGATGTTGAAGTCCTTAAACAGGTTGGTGGATTTGTCTATTTGTCTATTTGTCCTTTCAACTCTTAGTTTTTGTTTAGTGTATTTTGAGGCTCTGTTGTGTGCTTGTATGTATGCACACATTTTTAATAATTTATTTCTATTTTTTTACTGTTACATAATCTCTCTTTTTTTCTATAGGGATATTCTTTGTTTTGAATTTACTTTATTCTGACATTAATATGTCACTTTTTCATTTTTAATTATTGTTTATATAATCAGTTCTTTTATTTTCAGTGTGTATGTGCTGTTGTATCTATCTTTTGTTGTAATCCCACAGGTTCCTGAAGCCTTGCTCATTTATTTTTTTCATTTTATTTTCTCTCTGGTGTTCAGACTGGCTAATTTATATTGTTCTATGGTCTGGTTCACTGATTCTTTCCTCTCTCCTCTCTATTCTGCTCTTCAGCCCATCCAATGAGTTTTTTCTAAATTCATACATATATATGTGTATGAATATATGTATAAAATTTTTACATATATATAGAGAGAGAGAGTTGGTGCTTCAGCTGGAGTCTGAAGACAGTCTTCTTGATGGATTCGCTCTTTTTTGGGGGATATCAGTCTTTTTCTTAAGGTCTTCAACTTACTGAATGAGGCCCACTCACATTACAGAGGGAAATCTGTTTCACTCAAAGTTTGTTGATTTAAATGTTAACCTCATCTGAAAACACACTGTTTCAGTATTATCCAGAAGAGTTTGACCTAATATGTCAGTAGCATGGCCTAGTCAAGTTGACAAATAAAATTAGCCAGAAGACAAGTTGCTGTACGTATGAAAATGTACATATGTAATTACACAGTCTACCTGTATCAACGTTTTTTCACTTTGAGTAAAGTTTAGAAACATTACTTTACCTTCTCCATATAAAAAACATGATTGTATTAAGCATTTCTTCTGCATACATTGAATATAATTCAATGACAAATATCAGATGTTTTCATAATTTTTGCTTCTACTATTGAATATGATTTAAGTAACCTACAAGAAGAAAGATACTATATTTATACTCCTCTTTTTAAACATTTTAATGTAATTCTTTCCTTTCTGTAATTTTAAGACTTCTTTTGTTATCATGTTCTTTCTCTCTAAAGAGCTTAACTATTTTTTAAGAGCAAGTTTGTTAGCAATAAATTACCTTAGTTTTTCTTCATCTGACAATGTCTTTATTCATGTTTACCAGTTATAGAATTTGTGGTTTACAGGGTTTTTTTTCCAGCATTTAAAACAAACTAAGCCACTCTCTTCTTGCCTCCAATGATTCAGATGAGAAATCCACTGCCATTTGAATTAGTGTTTCCTTATAAAAAGTTATATGACATTTTCAGGAGTTTGAAACCAGCCTGACCAACATGGAGAAACCCTGTCTCCACTAAAAATACAAAATTAGCCTGGTGTGGTGGTGCATGCCTGTAATCCCAGCTACTCAGGAGGCTGAGGCAGGAGAATTGCTTGAACCCAGAAGGCGGAGGTTGCACTGAGCCGAGATCACGCCATTGTACCCCCCAAAAAAAAAGTTATCTGACATTTTTTCCTGTGGTTGTTTCAAGATTTTATTTTTGCCATTAGTTTTCAAAAGTTTAATTATTATGTGTCTTGGTGTGGATTTCCTTGGGCTTACCCTGCTTCATTTTTTTTTTTTTTTTTGGTAGTCTTGAATTCATAGGTTAACCTTTTTTTATTGTTGTTAAGTTTGGAAAAGCCATTATTTCTGTGAAATAAAACCATATTTCCTCTAATCTTTTTTAGTCCTACTCTGCTGCTCCTTTTCTGAAGTTCTGAGGATACAGACATTCTATCTTTTGTTGTAATCCCACAAGTTCCCGAAGCTCTGCTCATTTTTCTTTTTCATTTTATTTTCTCTCTGGTGTTCAGACTAGCTAATTTATATTGTTCTATGGTCTGGTTCACTGATTCTTTCCTCTCCCCTCTCTATTCTGCTCTTCAGCCCATCCAAGGAGTTTTTTTTTTTTTTTTTAAATTCTGTTATGGTATTTGAATTATAAAATTTCCATTTGCTTCTTCTTTGCATTTTCTATTTATTTGCTCAGACAGTCTATTTCTCACTTCTTTGAATTACGTATGTATTTTCTCTTTAAAGAATAGCAGGCCCTTGTTAACATTGTTTTGTTCAACATTATTTCATTATAACATTGATGAGTATATTAGTCAGGGTTCTCTAGAGGGACAGAACTAATAGGATAAATGTACATATGAAGGGGAGTTTATTAAGGAGTATTGACTCACATGATCACAAGGTGAAGTCCCACAATAGGCCATCTGCAAGCTGGGGAGTCAGGAAGTCAGTCTGAGTCCCCAACCTCAAAAGTAGGGAAGCTGGCAGTGCAGCCTTCAGTCTGTAGCTGAAGGCCCCAGACGCCCTGGTAAACCACCCGTTGAGTCTGATGTTCAAGGGCAGGAAGCACCCACCACTGGTGAAAGATGAAGGCTGGAAGACTCAGCAAGTCTGCTTCTCTCACCTTCTGCCTGCTTTATTCTGGCAGTTGATTAGGTGGTGCCCACCCACATTGAGGGTGGGTCTGCCTCTCCCAGTCCACTGACTCAAATGTTAATCTCCTTTGGCAACACTCTCACAGACACACCCAGGAACAGTACTTTGCATCCTTCAATCCAATCAAGTTGACACTCAATATTAACCATCACAATGAGAAAAAAAATTGATTCTAGGCCGGGACCACTGTCTATGCAGAGTCTACATGTTCTTCCCCTGTCGTTGTGTGTGTTCTCTGGGTATTCTGGGTTTTCTCACATCCCAAATAAGTGCAGGTTAGGTTCATTGGTGTGTCTCAGTGGCCCTTGTTGGAGCAAGTGTAGGTGTGTGTGAGTGAACCCTGAAATGGCATGGCGTCCTGTTCAGGGTTGGTTCCTGCACTGCACTCTGAGCTGCCTGGATGGGCTCTGGTCACCCGTGACCTTGAACTGAAATAATTGCATAAATAATGATCTTACTTTTTTTTATAAATCTCTCTTCAGTGTATGTATCACTCACATTTATTTCAGTGTTTAATATTTGGAGCCTTTGTTCTTTATTTAGAAGTTTGGTGATATTTTTGTGACCAGAAATATACAGTAGAAACAAGTCTCATTTATATCAATTAACTTATGGTAAAATTGGTTTGTTATAAGTTGTTTTGTTGTGTTAAAGTCAAAGTTTCCAAGAACCTGTTGACAATGTTTTGTGAAGACTTACTATATTTTTACAATGTGCTTAACATTTTTGTCAGAAAATTCTAACATCTGTGTCACCTCTTGTTGCTTTTTGTTGACTGTCTTTTGTCATTCTGATTGAGATATTACTGGTTCTTAGTATAATGAGTTATTTTCAATTGAGACCTGGACATTTTTGAGTTTTATAAGATTCTGCATCGTATATAAATCTTATTTCTTATCAGACCTTGTATGACATGCTCTGGTGGGTGAAGAGGTTTGGGGGAAAAGTGCCACCTTGTACTGACAGCTAGGGTGGAAGTTTAAGTTAATTATGGTCTCACAGGGATGAAGTCCCAGGTACCCACTTGGCCTCAGAGACAGGGCTGGAGGCCTTGTTATAGCCCTCTGAGAGTAGAAGTCTAGGGACTCCACTCAGCCTTTCCTGTCAGAGGTGGAGGGTGTAGTCACAGTGTTTATGTTGGTACTTGGCAGTAGTAGAGTGGCTATTGTTTGCAAATTTCCTGTGATGTAAAGCAAAGCTATCCTTTCCTTTGGCTAAAGAAAGGAAGATTTACTTGGGAATAATTTTCTTCTTTGACTGTTGGCATCTGTAGGTTGCCAGCTTCTCCAACACCTATTTTGGGATACATGAAGCAGAAAGAAAACCCAATAAACTCATAGTTATTTTCACTCCTTCGGTCTTAAGATTCAAGCTGTTTGTATTCTTCTATTTTTCAGAGTTAATCCTTTGCTTCTTTCAATTTAATGTCCAGAGTTTTTAGCTGTACTTAGAGTAATAGGAAACCTGTTTATTGCATCCTATCTTCCTCTTCCCATTTTGACAATGGTGCAAAACAATTCAATACAGAAGGATATTGTTTTCAATAAATGCCATTGGAACAACTGTAAATCCATATTTTAAAATGGAATGCTGTCCTAACCCTCACACATAAAGTAAAAATTTACATTTAAATTTAAAATATAGGACAATACAACTTCTAGAGGAAATACAGAAGAAAATCTCTGTAACCTGTCGTAAGGCAGAAAGTACTCACACATGATCCAAAATGCATAATCCAAAAAATATGAATTTGATAAACTGAACTCAACCAAATTTTACAAAATGCTTTGTTAAAGACACTGTTAAGAGACCAAAAAACTTAGCATCAGAACGTTAAAACTATTTGCAAATTACACATCCAACAAAGGACTTCTTGCTAGAATAAGTATTTGAAGACACAAAATGTAACAACAGAAAAACAGTTTAATAAACTAGACTCTTTACTAAAGAGCATATAAAGATGGCAAATAGCAACATGAAAAGATGCTCAATATCATTAATCACTAGGGAAATGCAAATTAAAGCCATGATGATGTACCACTGTTCATATACTGGAATAGCTAAAACTTAAAATATTGATTGTATTAAGTGTTGCCAAGAATATGGAGAAACCAAAACTCTCATACATTCCTGGTGGGAATGTAAAATTATATAACTACCTCACAAAATAGTCTGGCGATTTCTTGAAATGTTAGGTAGACATCTATTATATTAATATGATTCAGCTATTATTCCTAGCTAATTATTTCCAAGTAATTTTCCAAGATAAATAAAAGATATGTCTACACAGACTTGTACTTAAATGTTCGTAGCAATGGTATTTGTAATTGCCAAAAAATAGAAATGACCTGCATGTGTATCAATAGGTTAATGGCTTGATAAGTTGTAGTATCTCTATACAATGAAACACTAATTGGCAGAAAAAGAAATGAATTTTTTATGTACTTACCAATATGAATGAATCTCAAACTCATTATTTTGAATGAATGAACCCAGACAAAAGAGAGTACATATGCTGCCATCCCATTTGCATAAAATTTAGAAAATGTAAAATTATCTATATGACAGAAAATAGATAAGTGATTAACTGGAGATAGGGTGGGGAGGTTGAGGAGGGGGGGATTACAAAAGGGTGATTGATATGTTTGTCATTTTGAACGTGTTGGTAGTTTCATTGACATATGCATATGTCAAAACTTATCAAATCACACTACCTACATATATGAAATTTATATGTCAATTATGCCTGAAAAAGATGTTTAAAAGAGTCGCAAGACACCAACATATTTTAAATCAATGATATCTAAAATAAAGAATATCAACAAAAAGACTATTACTTAAAAAAATTTCTCAACGTATTTCACTTATTTTCCAAAAATGTAGTCATGAAAAATTATAAAATGATTCCATAAATAACAAATAAATATATTTTAAATTCAATAGAGAAAAGTAGCCTTTGCAACAAATATTTGGATTTCCATGCAAACAATAAAAAGAAACTCAATCTCTACTTCATGCTACGTATAAACATGAACTCAAATTTGTTCATAGATCTAAAAATATAAAACTTTAATTACTTTAGAAGACGAAGTAGGAGAAAGCCTTTGAGCTAGGCAAAGATTTCTCAGATATGACTCTGCTATGTTTTTAATGTATGCGTCCTTCCAAAATTCATATGTTGGAACCCAGTACCTATTGTGATAGTATTAAGAAGGAAGGCCTTTGAGGAAGTAATTAAGTCATGAACTCTGCATTCTCTTGAATGAGATTAGTGCTCGTGTAAAAGATGTTGAAGCTCCTAGCTCCTTTTGCTTTTACCGCATGAGGACTCAGCAAGTAGGACCTCATCAGCCACTGAATCTGTTCACACCTTAATCTTAGACTTCCCAGCTTCCAGAACTGTTCTTTCTAAATTACCCAGTCTAAGGTGTTTTGTTATAGTAGCAAAAATGGTCCAAGGCAGGCCGAGGCGGGCAGATCACGAGGTCAGGAGATCGAGACCATCCTGGCTAAAATGATGAAACCCCGTCTCTACTAAAAATACAAAAAATTAGCCGGGCATGGTGGCCTGTGCCTGTAGTCCCAGCTACTCTGGAGGCTGAGGCAGGAGAATGGCGTCAACCCGGGGCGCGGAGCTTGCAGTGAGCCGAGATCGCGCCACTGCACTCCAGCCTGGGCGACAGAGCGAGACTCCGTCTCGAAAAAAAAAAAAAAAAAAAAAAAAAAGGTCCAAGGCAGGCAGCAAAAGCAGAATTCATTAAAGAAAAAACAATGAATTGTGTTTTCTCAAAATTAAAATCTCCTAATCATTGAAAACGCTGTTAATAAAATTAAACTACAAGCCATACTGTATTGTATGGTATAACTTGCAGATATATACTCTCACCTGAACACACTCAAGATTTATTGTTTTATGTATCAAACAGGCACCTCATAATTTTAATTCATTTGGCAATTAGCGTTATTGTTTTCACATAATTTTGGCAATAATCAGTATTCCTCAGTGAGCGTTGGCTTTAAACAGTCTTGGACTCCTTATGCAAATCAACATACAGCTGGCTGTAAATACCTGCATGATCCCACTTTACAGACTGGTCCAAGAGATAAATGTGGAAGTTCCTTTCATGAATTTAAGAGTGAAGCCATTCACAAATTAATTCTGCAATTTCCCTCTGGTCTTGCTGCAAAATACAATAAAGACTCTACTAATATATTTCAGTTTTATTTTTAACCACTAGCTTGTATAAAATGACTGTTCTATCTTGTTTCACTCACACAAGTTGAGCTGCTTTTTCCTTACATTTCTCCTCTCCTGGCCAAAGATCTTGGCTCTCCTATTCTTAGAAAGCACACACGCGCAGACACTCACTGTCTTCAGGCCCCTCCTTTTTTGGTTCTTCTAATAATACCAAGTTTTCAGCATCTGCCTGTTCAAAACTCTATCTCAATGTTTATTTAGCGAACTTTAGCTCATCTCCTGGTTGCAATTGTGATGAGTTACGTTATGTATCTCAATTTAATTTCTCTATTGTATATTTATCATTAAAACTACCACAGTCTAACTCATGAATGTAAAATGTCATAGTTTATGACACATAACATGAAAGAAATTATTAATCTACAGTAAGCTGAGGAGCACTTTGTAATTTGAATATATAATGAGTTTAATAGAAGGTATTTCATTTTATGTATCATATGTATAAAAAATTGCTTAAATATACTTTGATGTATATACAGCCTAAACCAGTGTTTTCTAGGTTACTTATTACTATACTGCATATATTAAAATATATTTGTAAAGTACTTTGAATATAAACCCAAAGATGCATTCCTAAAATGTGGAGAATAATTATAGTGACAAGTCAATTATTTTGAGTTCATTGTTGAAATATTTGGATGAAACTTTTATCCATTTTTAAGGATTATATTGTATTGAATAGGTGAATTGGGTGCTAACTTTGACATTAAATAAAAGAGAAAAGATTGAAGTAAATTTAAAAAGGGGAAGTCTTCTTTTATACGCAAATATTATACTTATCCATGTTGCTCCTTTCTGGAATTTTCTAGGAATATTGTAACTGAAATAGTGTGATGTTTGATAAAGGATGTTCCTGTCATTTAGAACATCATCCTGTTCAGGTTCCAGCTCTGCAAATACTTCCTGTGCCTGGTGTATGTTTTCTCCTTCAAATCATGAATGTGGAATGATCTGCAACCACTCCCAGCAGCAGTGACTTCTGGGGCTGTCATAAAGTGTCAGCAAACAGGACGAATATTGGGATGCGTCAAGAACTAAATAAAGACCAGGGACTGAATAAAGCACCTGGACACAGAAAACTATACATCGTCTCCTTGGCTTCCTTTTTGAAAATTGGCGTATACAGTGTATTTTTAGCAGGGATGGGATGATTTTGCTTAATGCTCGACAGCTGCTCATTAGGCAGATCAGAAAGAGATAAGCAAGATGGCATATTGGTTAAAATTGCAGAGTAGGTGCCAGGAGTACTAGATTTCAAGTCTTGCTTGCTAACCTTGAATGACCTTGAGGACTTACTTTCCCCTTGCTGTTCCCAGCTTTTCTAGATTTAGAGTTGTGACAAGAACACTTTCCCAACATCTCAATGGTGCTACGGAGAATCTGTAAAGTTTTGAGATTCTTGAAGAGACAGATTCCCATTAAAATTACTGACCATGCAAGATGCCTCTGTGGCTATCTCATTTAGATAAGATCCTCAGGGAAGCATAAGGGCATGCAAGGGATATAAGCATAGGATTGTTGAGAAAATAAAATTTGATTTGCTAAAGTCTATCCTTGTACAGGCTGAAATTATTTTTAGGAAAACAAGCCTCACTGGTTACCTCGTCATTAAGAGATTCTATCTTACTTCAACCAAACATAAATGAATGAATATTGAATGAATCTAAACATGAGATGTACAATTAAGCACAAACGTGTATTTTGGCTAAATCAGGTAAAGGTAGCCAGTTGCAAAGTTCAGTAACTACAATTCAGTGCATTTTCATCTAGTCACTTGTTGCTAGTCAGAATGACAATCTCCTTTTAGGATGAGATTTCTGAATATAATGAGGCTTTAGCTTGATGATACATATTTCGCTTATTTAATAACTGAGGTTAGCAAAAAAATGAGTCAGTTTCAATGTCAGTATTTTAAATTATTTTTAGTCTTTAATCTTGGTGAGATTCTTTTTCAAGTCCTTGGATTGTAAGATGATATGAAATAATGGTATGAGAACTGCTTATTTCAAAGAAATTACTTCATGTTCCGGAAAGACAGGAGTTCATAAGAGTCTTGTATTTTTTTAACAGTGATTACTGCAGTAAATATTTCACTTTAGCCTAGGGTTTTTTTGTGTGTGTGTGTGTGCCTTGTTATACTGATAACATTGGTTTAAGTGTGGAAAAAAATGTGTAATTCGATTTTAGTTTATTAGCATATAATTTTAAAAATTGCTTTGGTCTCTTTCACATTTTAATGCTCTAATATTAATATAAATCAGTGATATTAATAAAATCCTAGAGTGAAAGCATCCTGCAGATATAGCCTTTGTGAAGTCCTTTGTGAAGGACTCTGTTAACATTGTCACCTAGCCCCGAGGAGGCTGAGGAGTCCACCATACTGACCGCACGGCCTGCGGAGACGAGGGGAGACAAACGCAGAGTTAGCATTAGCTATTTTCACAAATAAGTTGCCAATGGTCAGCATTTGTGATTCCAAAGAGCGCCTGCTGTGAATGTTTGAGATGCTATGGGTTTCTGCCAACACACAGAGTCTGCCTCCAAGTTCCTCAGTGGCTTTTGTGGCCCAGGTACATTTCTGTGGGAAGATAAGGCTCACTGTAGACATTTCCATTACAATGGGGATGACAGTAATGAATCCACTTCTCTCTAAAACAACTATTTTTATAAAGCCTCCTCAATAAAAACTTAGAGTGTAAAAATGCCCACACATAACCAGATGCCAACTCTCTAAATTCTTCTCAGGAATAAAAGTTCAATTTCCAATATTGTGTGAAGACAGAGGAAGAAAGGGAAAAAGAGGTATATGTGATAAGCAGTCAATACATAATCAACTAATGATAATGGTGCCTGAGTAGATTGTCATAGCCTGTGAAGAAGGCATAGGTCAAATTCATTTTTTCTTTAACATGAACTCAAGCTGGTGTCTAGTACTCAAGTCCAGTGAAAGGAAATGCTTTAAAATTCCTAGCCCGGGGCCAATGTGAGTAGTGGCATATAATGTCATTTACTAAGTACACTTGAGAAAAATAAAATCTGTATTTTTGGCAATAATTTTTTCACTGGCAGATAAAGTCAATAATCAGTTAATATTTTAGACAATGTTCAAGTTTGCACTAATGTGTTGAGCTTTATCAGATCTTGGTAAACTAATTGTTGCTGCAAAAGTCAGACATTAGTACTCTTTTTTTCCACAGAAAAAAAATCACATAGAATATAAGCCAACATCTTCATGAAATCTGGTTATAGCTAACTGCAGAGTGTAAAGGGCACATAGAACTGCAGAGGGTGAAGGGCAGCACATACGTTAAAGAAACTGACTCCTCTCTACCAGATCCAGCTGATTTTTTTCCTTTGACACACAACCACCACTCCCTAGGCCACACTTCTCCCTAAAAACTGCTTCCCTCAAAAGCAGAGCAAACTGCTTTTTTTCTGAGATAAGCACTGCAACATGTTTGGACTAAAAAACTTTGCTCATCAGAGCGGATGTGACTGGAGTTAACACCTTACCCAGGCTGAGTCAACTTATTGGTTGGCCAGATGTCTACTGTGTACTCTCAAGTAAGCATTCCATAGAAGAAACACAGAATCTCAGGGAGATGAGATTAATTCTGCTCCCTTCGGGTGTGGGCTGGATTTAGCAACTCTTTAACTAATGAATAGCAGCAATGATGGATGACATCAAGCAGTCATGCTTTAAGCAACCCATTTTGGGGCCCCTGTGGTGGGTACTGGAACCTCTGGTGAGGAGTGGAGGCCTGCCAATAATCACAGTAGTGAGGTGGGAGCAGATTTCCCATCCCTTGCTGAACTTTAAGAAGATTGTAGCATTAGTAGAGAACTCATCTGAAGCCTTGTAAAAGACTGTGAGCCACAGCAACCCACACAAGACTGTCTTAGATTCTTGACCTACAGAAATTGTGTGAGGCAATCCATGCTTATGGTTGCAAGATGCTAAGCTAAATTCTGGGGTAATTTGCTATACAGCAATAGATAAATAATGCAATTGATTTCAATAAAAATCGTAGCAGGATCACCATTTTTGCTGCCACATCTCCGGGTTTTTTTGTTTTTTGTTTTTTTTTTTGAGACAGAATCTGGCTCTATCACCCAGGCTGGAGCACAGTGGCACAATCTCGGCTCATTGCAGGCTCCACCTCCTGGGTTCACGCCATTCTCCTGCTTCAGCCTCCTGAGTAGCTGGGACTACAGGCGCCCGCCACCACACCCGGCTAATTTTGTTTTTGTATTTTTAGTAGAGATGGGGTTTCACCGTGTTAGCCAGGATGGTCTCGATCTCCTGACCTCATGATCCACCCGCCTGGGCCTCCCAAAGTGCTGGGATTACAGGAGTGAGCCACCGTGCAGGCCCGGGTTGTTTTTTTCTTCAATGTTTTGAAGATGTCCCCTCTTCTCAACTTTTAACAATTAGTTTCTTATGACTCTGTCCTTGGTCCTCTTCTCCTCTTACTCTGGTCTTCAGTGATCTTATTTTCCTATATAACCTCAAACACCAACTAAGGACTTACAGATTCACATCCAGGTTTCTCCATTTCATCACTATCAATATTCTGGGAGACATAATTATTTGTTGTGAGTAGCTATGATATGTCTCGTAAGGTATTTAGTAGTATCCCTGCTCTCTACATTCTAGATGCCAAAAACACCCTCCTCTCTCCCAGTTGTGAAAACCAAAAATGTCGCCAGACATTATCAAGTACTGCTGGGGAGAGGGGGCACTGCTCTCAGCTGAGAATAACTCTTCTAGACCTTCCCTCAGAGATTCAGATCCATAAATCCAGTCACCAATTTTAGATTTAATGAAGGTCACCTCTGACATAGTATAATGTTATAGGCATCTCAAAATCTACATGCCAAAATATGAATTCCTAACCTCTATCTCTTTTGCCCAACTCCTGCTGGAACAGTTACCTTGAGTGTCCTTCCTTAGACGTCTACACCATCTGCCAGTTGCTACAAGCCTAAAGCCAACATCTTCACCACTGCCAGCAAAGCCTTACATATTCCACCACTCACTGCCTTTCCAACTTCATCGCACACAACAACTCTGCCCTTTAGTCATGCCTTTGAATTATCTAGTTTTTTTTTTTAAGTTGTTATTTTCAGAGCATTTTTGTACCAGTCTCTTCTCCATGTCACTGGTTCTGCACGTGCCTGTGCTTCTGCCTGGAACATACTCCGCTTTCCTCTTTACCTTGCCAATTCTAAACCATCTCTCATGTCTCAGCTGAAATGAAATATCACCTCTTCAAGGAAGCCCTCTCTGATCACCCCAGACTAAGGTTAGTTCCCCAATTATAATCTCAAGCAGGACCTGCCTCTCCTTGTCAACAATTACAACTATTTTGTTTTGGTAACTCTAATTTTAGTATTCTTTCCATCACCAATAATTTTAGCTTCATTGATAAAGGTATCATGTCCACATTCCTTTGCTTCTAGGTAGCTTATACCTGGGTCAGTGCCTGTTAGACACTCAGAAAATATTTGTTAATTAAAAAAAAAATAGCTAAATGAATACACCAAGAGGTACAAGAATTTTGCTATCCACACTACTGAAGTCTGGAGGTGACCCTACAGGGATTTGTGAGATCCTAAGTATCTTTTTTAACAATTATTTTGTACAGACATCTTTCATTTTATAATCTGGGAAATGAATGCTAACTTTAGGTGTGAGTTTCACTATCCTTGTAAACGACAAAGAACATGATTAAACAATAAATCATAAAACTGTTATTGGAGTTAATGAACCAACTAGTAAAACTATATTTAACATGAATAGCAATATGTAAATGGAGTGAACTTTTTTCTGATAACTGTCAAAATACTTCAATTTTACAAGTGTAAATGGAAAGGCTTTTTTTCCCCCAATAATTATAATAAAAAGCCACAGATACATTTCAGTACATTAAAAAAATTATATGTGACTAAAAGTGACACCATAATTAAAATTTAAGAAAATTGACAGGTGTGTATGATAAAGTCTTATCATCATCATATTTTAAAACCCTTACAAATGAATCAGAAGAAGACAAATTATTTATTAGAAATAGGGACAAGGAAGAAGATTGTAAGTGAAAAACAGAGATCAACAATAAATTATTTTTGAATGAAAAAATACTAGAATACAATGTCAATAGCAAGACATTGAGGTAAACTTATAGATCAAATGATAGAGGAATGTTTAAATAACTGTATCTCTATAAAATAAGTTTTTATTTAGAAAATAAAGTTGAGAATATAAATTTATATTTGTTGCCATGGAGGCATGTGTATGTTTATAAACATAAGCCCCCACGTATAATATTTTTCACACAGTTAAATGTAAAAGAGGTTACAAAAAGTGAATGATACCATTTTCTTAAAATGTGTGTGTTGTATATATGTACATAGAAACAGGTTAGAAAAAACACGTTAGTGTGGTGATCATATTTGGGGGATGGAATTCTATTATTATTTAATTCTTATTGTTTAGGCTTAGTATTGGTCTAAATTGTTCACAGTGCATACCTATTTCTTTTATCATTGGAAAAAAGCCAGGTTTATTATGGAAAAATAAGCCCAAAATCAACTTTAATTATTTTAGACATATTTTTCAAGAAAACAAAATGCATTTTAAGAATTTTATCCTCAAGATTCTGTCTGCTGGAAATAAAATTTGAAAAATAATAAACCTTGCTACCATATACTTTCCTAAACCTTTCTTCCAAAAGCTCATAAAAACTCTGATACTAGCTTTTAATAATAAAAATTTGCATTCTTTCTGCAACTATCGATGTTGAATTTAGTACTTTAAACCTTCCTAAAACTCATCCATCACATTAGTAAGGAAAATTGGAATATGCCTTACTATCCCAAATGAAAATTAAAGCCATCTGCTAATTCCGTAACATACCTCACCTAAATGTTTTGCAAAATGTTGCTGTAACTTGAGTAAACACAAGAAAAGAAGCAAACACAACCTCAGACCTTCTTTAATCTTTGGCTGAGGACCATGTGGTGGGGACCATGCCATCAACAGAGGCACAGGCGGCTTCTTCAAAAAATAAATTGTCTTGTTTGTCCCTGAATTTCGCTTCAGTTTCGTAATGGTTAGCAAATGAGCTGGGCTGCTTCAGCGGGGCAGAAGACTGCTGAAGCACCGTTTTATCTTTCTTTTGCCACAAATTTTCTGCTGTGAACCCTAAGGGCCAAATTTAGAAATGTAGATAAACCAGATGTGTTCATAAAATTGAATGCATACCTGTGCTGCCTACCAAAACAAAAACAAAAACAAAAACTCCAAAGTTTCCCATTGCACAATATTCTGATTTCCTAGCGTTGCCTGCTGTAATGGTCCCGGCAGGCAAAGTTGCTTCCCCATCTTCTGAGCAGGCTGGCAGCATCAGCTTTGAGAATGTTAGTGATGAGGCCTTTGCAAATAAGCACAAGTCGCATTATGTCAACTTCAAATGAAATCATAACACAAAAAGAAAACATTCATACATTGATAGAAATTATAGAGCATCAAATGAGATACAAGAATTTTATCTCCTTATTTGTATATTCTTGTCTTCCTGTCTATAAACATATGTTTGCACATGCCGTGTATTGATAGATTAACATACAAAATTACAACATTGCATTTGCAACACTGTAGTTAAGGTTGTCTTCACATTTATATTTCTGAGGTTTTATATCTGAACCATAAACACTCTCTCTGGGCTGAAATTTGGCATATAGAGCAAAACTAGAAATGTGCTCATTTTTCTCCTGTACAAAAAGAAATTTCACAGAAATGCTTATATTTTTAAAATCATATTTTTAGTTGACAAAATAAAATATTATTTGTAAAGTTGACCTATAATAATTCAAAGCAGAAAAATGATCAGATAGTGTGTTTTATATCATTGCCTTCATATTTTACTACATTAGGAAAACTCAGTATGTGTTTTTTAATATTATGATAGTTTTAAAAATTCTTATGATCATTTGACAACAGAAAAGTCCTCTAATGACATTTCAAATTAAATATTTTTTAAAACATCTAGAAACAACAAAAGAAAGCCACTTAATTTAGGTAAAATAATTAAACATGGCATTTAACATAACTGACTCAAAGTTACTTTAAGAATTTTAATGATTTTAAGCAAATAAATGTGAACACTGCTAAAGGAAATATTCCCAATCAAAAATTTTAAAATATTGTTTTGGAGGAAATGGGTTAATCAGTTTTATCAAGGAGGTTGACACTATTTTGCAATAAAAAGGGTTCAACATTCTGCTTTGAAATGTATTTTTCAAAACATTTGCAATCTTGAAGCAAAATAAAGCTTCAAAACTCAAATGTATTTATTAGTTATATGATTTCCTGTACACTATTGAAGTTCTTAGTATTCTCTTAACGGTTCTGAACAATTATTACTTTAACCAGGTTGTTTGTTTGTTTGCCTAGACCCTACTTTCATTTGTTAGAAAAACATGTTTTGAAAATTGAATTTCCCTGTAAGAACAATGGGTAAAATACAAGGCATATGTTTTTCAAATCACATAGTTTGTTTAATACCTAAAAAAATCTTCCACTCATTTTTCAATACTTTCCAACCATTCTCAAAAGACCCTTTCTTTATTATTTTTTAAACGTTGGAAGTGAGAAAAATGTGTATTTTGTGGAATGTGGGAGGCATGTTTATTCACAATAAACTGTGAAGCATATGGAATAAATTTCTCTTATAATACTAAACTTCAAAAGTTCAGGTTAAGTAATGTATGGCTGAGATCCTTTGGAGGTTTGCACAGCAAATTGGAAAAATCAGTCATGATATTTAGTGATCCTAATATGTTCATTTTCAGTGATGTAAATATACATGCAGAATCTCAGAGCATGGAGGATAAAATAAACGATACATTTTCTGAAGTTGGAAACACTAACTTTTGACTTACTGCCTCAGCATTGCTAAGTTATGCGCTCATCCCCAAAAGTTCTGTTCTCTTTTTTCCCAGCTTGTGCGATTGCAAACTCCTGGGTATTATGAAGTCACATGGGCTGTACTGCCCTGGAGCCTACAGTGTATATGATGTAGTTGGCTCCACATCCTTCAGCCTTCACCATGCTAAACATTTGGACTTGCTTACACTTCACTGCCCAGGAGCAAATGCTTCATGTCATAATCCCCTGTGGACTGAATCCGAATGAGTTTCTCACCATTCAAGAGGAAAAGCCAGAGAGAACCAACAATAGTAACACAGGGTAGAAACTTGCTTTTATTCAAAATGACAGACCTAGACCTTATTTCCTGATCTATAAAATATGCATTTAACAATCCTACTGCTTTTCTTAGGACATAAACATTTTCTTTTTCTTGCCTCAAGGTAGCATTTTCAAGATGCAGATGACTCCAAAATTGGCACATTCGTATCCTGAAGTTACCTGCAGGAAAAGTAGATAGTTTCTGGAATGTTTATGCCTCTACTTATAGTGAGTAGGTATTTTGGGGAAGCAGGGATTTCTTTAACAAATGTAATAAGCTCTGAATTATAGAAAATGAATCTTATTCATTTTTTCTAACTGTCCTTCTATACCTTATACAATAAACAAATTTCTGAAAGCTAAAGGTTGGATCCATTTCTTAGGAAATAGTAATTTATGACAGATATCCTTTCATGGAGATAAGAGAAACAGTAATAAAGCCAGGCTAGTTGCGAACAGCACTTAGAACATGTACAGTGCTTAACATGGTCGTTAGTATAGGGACCCAGTGATGATAGCTAAATATATCAATGTAGAAATGAATAAATAAGTGCGCAATTAGGTGTTGTGTTTTTGGAGATAGGTGACCTCTTTACCTATTAATCTCCTGCAAATGTTTTTAAGGTACAATAATTCTGGGAGACTGGAAAATTCAACATGTGGATGTTATTCTGTTTACCTCACTGCTGGCTTTTGTGTGCATACTTGTCACGTTAGCTAGTTTAGCATGTTGGTTAATTTCATGTGTCAACTTGACTGCTTTAAGAGATGCTCCAATAGCTGGTAAAACATTGTTTCTGGGTGTGACTGTGAGGGTGTTTCCAGAGGAGATTAGCATTCAAATCAGTAGACTGACTAAAGAAGATCACCCTCATCCGTGTGGGTGGGCCTCATTCAATCTAGTTAGAGTCCGGTAGAATAAAAAAGTGGAAGAAGAGCGAATTTGCTCTTTCTTTTCTTAAGCTGAGATATGTGTCTCCTCCTGCCTTCAGACATCAGAGCTCCTGTTTTCAGGTCTTTGGACCCCAGAATTCACATCAGCATTCCCTCTGGTTCTCAGGCCTTTCAACTTAGACTGAATTACATCACCAGCTTCCCTGGTTCTCCTGCTTGCAGATGGCAGATTCTTGGCTTCATAATCCTGTGAGTCAATTCCTATAATAAATCTCCCCTTTCATATATATATTTTTATATATATTTCCTATTGGTTCTGCTGATTTCGAAAACCCTAACAGTTCCTGTATGGACTAACAGTATGGGGGAAACTGTATCCATGTAATTGTTTTGTATTAATCCTAGTGTTTTGTATCAAGCCTAGTGTTGGATACAGTTAGACCTTAAATCCGTTAGACCTATGGTGGTAAATACTTCATTCATTCGCAAAGATAATTGGAGAACTGCTGTGTGTGGAGATTTTATAGAATCACTACTGTGAAATAGTTGTGCTGTACTGGATGCATGTAATGTAACATTCTTTCTACCACGGAGGAAAATATTGGCAAATATTACATTATGTTTTGTAGTCTTCAGGCCATTATCCCCATCTTGTAGTTGGAGACACTTAGGTTAGATGCTGGGTGACACATGACACAACTGTTGGCTCATATCTTAATATGTCGGGAAATCTATCACCTGGCTTCTGTGTTATTTTTCATCAGTCCATTGTTGCATTTGAAATGACCTCCTCACTGTCCACTGTTCTTTCCTGCTCTCTCTAATTCCCAGTTATCTCACCTACTGACCACAGACCCAGATTCTCAATGTATTGCCTATATTTTATATATTAATATATTACATACATTTTGTCATGTTACATATTTATATATATCACACATATTTTATATGCATATACCACTTACTATATTATGCATAACACTTATTGTTCAGACTTCTGGTGTCACAACATAATCAGTGTTCTTCAATGAC